>NC_000001.11:212578526-212730041 GCF_000001405.40 Homo sapiens | reverse complement strand
TGACCTCAGGTGATCCACTCGCCCTGGCCTCCCAAAGTGCTGTGATTACAGGAGTGAGCCGCCACGCCCGGCCCATTTCATTCTTAAAAAAAAAAATCCTTCCGGAGGTTTAGTTCCTCCACAAGGCAGCTTCTGGTTACCTGCCCCCTCAGGGTCCTTGCTGCCTGGGTCACCCCAGCAACCCCTTCGTCCACACATCACTGCCCTTTGCAGCACCAGCTGATTACATTGCTTTTTCCATGTTCTAGCTGTTCTTTTGAGCCGTTTTATAGCCGAGCATCTCCACCAGAAGAGCGGATAGGAAAAAGGAAAAGAGAGGAGGATTTGACCTTGGTATCTTGCTTCATTTCCTTCTCTGACAAAAATTTGGTGAAAAGGTTAAAATAAGTGTTCGAATTCTCTCTGACTTGTCATATTCTGTCTATGCCCTGTGTGCCTGCCTCTGATCCTGAGGAAGTGTAGAAATGAGGGGATGACACTGGCAGAATAATAAAAATGGGCAAAGTTGTAGGGCACCCCTGCTCCAGGTCCCATACACCCCAGCTCCAGAGCCTCAGGATCTTTCCCAGCCATGTGCCAGACAATATTGTAAAATGATTTTTCGTAGCCACACCTTTTATTACACACATACTCGATGAATCTAAATACTGTGCTAAGAGCTGTGTGGATGTACACCTGTAAACCAAGGCACAGACCCTGCCCACAAGCAATTTGCCGTCAGTTAGGGGAGCCATCAGTAGCATCTAGGGATCCATTAGAGGGAAAAGAGGGAGCTGAGGGAGAGGCTAGGAGCCCAAGCAAACCTGCACTTCTGCTCCTAGAGGGAACCTGAGAGTGAAACTCATGGGTTTGGAAACTTCTGTGGAATTACCTGCTTGCAAGAAATGATTTTGTCTGGTTTTAGAAACTACGATGGAACACTAATATATTCCTGTAATTGACTGGCAAGTTTTAACACTTACTGCAATTTATTTTTCTTGTAAGCCCAACCCAAGTATTCTTCCTTTAAAAAAAATTTCAGATTGACAAATGACTGCTTCTTTAGAAATCCTCCTTACTAAAATTACTCCTCATTTCTTTTTCTTTCATATTCAAAGGGAACAAACGTTCAAACACACAAATAAACACTGCTCTTTGCCAGAGTGGTGGACTCTGGCCTCCCCACCCCCAGCACTCCCAGTCTTGCCCTCCTGCAAACACTAGACTTAATTTTCTCTGCGCTGAGGGCCCTCCTCGAGTCAGAGTGAGAGGAAAAACAGAAGGGAGAAGCTGCGAGATGTGGCAACAAAGGGGACGGTGATCAGGTTTATCCCTGATGTTGTCTGTGAAGGTGTTCCATTCTCCAGAGATCTCACCAAATGGTATAAGTGATGTGCAGATAAGCCTGTGGTTCCCTTCACTCATCAGATCAGAGCCTCAGAATTCTCAGAAACCATTTTTTTCCTAACATAAAACTCCTTTTCTCATTTCTATCCCTCTGTAAATCTGATTTGAAAAAATTGTTTGAACAAACCAACAATGTCAGATTTGTTCCAGCTATATGAGCTCACAATTCATCTACTCTTGGTAGTTCAAGATAAAAGATTACCCAAAGAAAAGGAAGAGATTGAGTAAAGCCACAACTGTAATAGTGTCCCAGATTGGGTAAAAGGCCATTAATAAATAGCGTGAATTGTAGAACTGTTTAAAGCAGCATATTTTTAAAACAGGCATATAAAGAATCCACTTTATGCCTGGAATTGTACAAAAATACTTTAAATAAATGTTTACATATATAATGTTATCAACTTATTTGCTGAAGGTAATATCAATATAATGCTAGTAGTTACCATGTATTGAGTGCTTACTACATGCCATGATCATGCTAAAAGCTTCACATGCACCATCTCTTTTAATCCTCAAGACAATCCATGAATTAAGGGCTATTACCACGCCCATTTCATGAGAAAGAGGTGGAGATGAGAAGGGAAGTGCCTGGCCACCTTCCCAGCGGTCTATAGACCATGTAGAGCAGAGCGAGGCCTTCTGACCACAAACTCTGCTTCCACCTTCTCCCCGTGGTTCACAGCAAAGGCCTTGTCCAGAGTCTCAGACGCTCTCACCGCTACACCACAGCGACCTCGTTGGTTCTTCTCATTTTTTTTCAATGACACATAGCAACAGAGAGTATCAACAAACATTTTTAAATTTCCCAGCAGTTAACGAATAGTGAATATTACTATGTAATACTAGTGTCTAAGAAAGTGCTCAAAGTTGTTTAAAGCAATTTATTATCTTAATGAGGTTAAATATGAACTTTTGCTGTTAATTTCTTGGGAAATATAAATCATCATAGCTAGTCATTCTTTCATCGTGGGAAGCTAACAGTCCTGATTGTTCAGGATTATAATTATAGTAAATTCTGAATTTGTGACGTGTGAATTTTAGAAGGTTACAAAACAACTTCCAGACAACTGAGTCATAAAGTTTTTGAGAGAAGTATGTGGCACACGTCTAATTCATTGTCCTTTCTCTCCAGTGGTATAGTTATGATATTAACCTAAATTGCAAAAGGAATCGTTTTAGTTGACTGCTGCTTGAAATTGTGTCACTTTTCCAAATTTAGGTAATGTCTGTTACAAGGAGTATATTTTGGAAACATTAACTTGACTGATACTTATTTCCCTGGTTAAGTGACCTTCCTGCCATGTGCTGAGTGCCAGGACTTACTGCCCCTCAGTAATTTGGAAGGGGATCCTGGGCCCTGCCTGGAACAAAGGGTTGTGAAACAGCTCTGAGTCTCAAGGCAAGTCTTGAAAGCCATATATAGTTTTCAGAAAAAGAGATCTTCTAAATTCCATTCACCCCCATTTAACACATTAGGAGCCAAGCCTGGTGGACTAGCTCTAGGGGCAGTTTAGGAGAGAAGGGGATCGGGGAACCTTCATCCCTTCTGCCTCTGGTGAACTGGCAAGATGAAGAGGATGAAGCTGGGTGACCCAGAGCCCGCCCTCCCTCTCTCGGCAGTCATCTCCAAGGCCGGAGTAGACTGGACTGGAGGGCCTCTGAGAGGACACAGCCAGGAAGCACACTCTCCCTGTGCTCTTCACCCACCATGAAGAGACAGGACGGGAAAGTCCGTGCTGTGCTGGTGTCCATCAGAGGGAGGGACACCATCCAGCCCCTGGGACCGGGCTCGGCTCTGTTGTTGCACAGAAGTCATTTGGAGATCCCCACGTGCCACATGGAGGATTGTGGGAGGACCCCACCGAGGTGGCTGGCAGCCTCTCATGGACACCATGGAGAGTGACCCAATCACTCTGCATTTGAGGACTGCAGAGTGGCTCAGCGGTCTGGACATTGAAGAGGAGCCAACCTCAGGGGTAACACAGTGCCGCTGGGAGCTGAGATGAGCCAGGTGGTCGGTGGGGGACACAAGCCTAGAACAAATTCAATAAACCAGCCACAGACGTTATCATCAGATGTGCCCAGAGACAAGGTGGACAGGGGCATTTGCTGTGGAGACCAGAGGGCCAGAGAGAGTACAGGGACCTGGATAGATGGCTCCAGCACCTCTTCTTCTCCCTACACCCATATGCCATCTTGATAAACAGCAGGGAAATCTGAAAAATACCAAGTCTTCCCATAGGGACAGTGTTACCTCCCAAAAACTGTTTGAATAATTGGCTTGAACTGGATTTTCTGAACTGAACTAATGCTATTGTTTTGTGGGTTTTTTTCTTCCTACTGAGTAGAGTAGTTGTTTATGGGGGACATCTGATCCTTTCATTTTCTTCCAGAGAGCTAACCACCTGTTCTGACACCATTTATTGAATAGTACCTCTTTTCCCCCACTGATGTGAGAGGCTGCATTTTTCATCTAATAAAATCGAATATATATTTAGATCTATTCCTAGTCTGTTCTTTTCATATGCTCATACCGTGCTGCTTTAACTTGTAGAGCATCATGATAGATTTATTTTTTCTTAGGACTATCTTCCTCCACTTGTTATTACTATTTTTCCATAAAGTTCCTGGCTACTTTGGCTTATTTATTTCCCTACATGAACTTTAATATCAGCTTGGCTGAGATGCCAAGGATATCCTGTTGGTAATTTTGGGGGATTGCATTAATTTCATAGTTTATTTTAGGGAAGATGGACTTGGTAATTCTTATCTAAGAACTTGATATGGGCTAGGTTTTTTTTTTCTTTTTTTTTTTTAAAAAAGATTAGTATGCTTTTTATTTGAGTAGGTAAACATTGAGAACTGAAGTGATTTTTCTTTTTTTTTTTTTTTTAGTATTTATTGATCATTCTTGGGTGTTTCTTGGGGAGGCGGATTTGGCAGGGTCATAGGACAATAGTGGAGGGAAGGTCAGCAGATAAACATGTGAACAAGGGTCTCTGGTTTTCCTAGGCAGAGGACCCTGTGGCCGACCGCAGTGTTTGTGTCCCTGGGTACTTGAGATTAGGGAGTGGTGATGACTCTTAAGGAGCATGCTGCCTTCAAGCATCTGTTTAACAAAGCACATCTTGCACCGCCCTTAATCCATTTAACCCTGAGTTGACACAGCACATGTTTGAGAGAGCACGGGGTTGGGGGTAAGGTTATAGATTAACAGCATCCCAAGGCAGAAGAATTTTTCTTAGTACAGAACAAAATGGAGTCTCCTGTGTCTACTTCTTTCTACACAGACACAGTAACAATCTGATTTTTCTTTCTTTTCCCCACATTTCCCCCTTTTCTATTCGACAAAATCGCCATCGTCATCATGGCCTGTTCTCAATGAGCTGTTGGGTACACCTCCCAGACGGGGTGGCGGCTGGGCAGAGAGGCTCCTCACTTCCCAGAGGGGGCGGCCGGGCAGAGGCGCCCCCCACCTCCCAGACAGGGCAGCGGCTGGGCGGAGGCGCCCCCCACCTCCCGGACGGGGCGGCTGCCGGGCAGGGGCTGCCCCCCACCTCCCTCCCGGACGGGGCAGCTGGCCGGGCGGGGGCTGCCCCCCACCTCCCTCCCGGACGGGGCGGCTGCCAGGCGGAGACGCTCCTCACTTCCCAGACGGGGCGGCTGCCAGGCGGAGGGGCTCCTCACTTCTCAGACGCTCCTCACCTCCCAGACGGGGTGGCAGTCGGGCAGAGACACTCCTCAGTTCCCAGATGCGGTCGCGGCCGGGCAGAGGCGCTCCTCACATCCCAGACGGGGCGGCGGGGCAGAGGCGCTCCCCACATCTCAGACGATGGGCGGCCGGGCAGAGATGCTCCCCCCTTCCTAGACGGGATGGCGGCCGGGAAGAGGCGCTCCTCACTTCCCAGACTGGGCGGCCGGGCAGAGGGGCTCCTCACCTCCCAGACGATGGTCGGCCAGGCAGAGACGCTCCTCACTTCCCAGATGGGGTGGCGGCCGGGCAGAGGCTGCAATCTCGGCACTTTGGGAGGCCAAGGCAGGTGGCTGGGAGGTGGAGGTTGTAGCGAGCTGAGATCATGCCACCGCACTCCAGCCTGGGCAAGATTGAGCACTGAGTGAGCGAGACTCCGTCTGCAATCCCGGCACCTCGGGAGGCCGAGGTGGGCAGATCACTCACGGTCAGGAGCTGGAGACCAGCCCGGCCAACACAGTGAAACCCCGTCTCCACCAAAAAATACGAAAACCAGTCAGGCGTGGCGGCGCGCGCCTGCAATCCCAGGCACTCGGCAGGCTGAGGCAGGAGAATCAGGCAGGGAGGTTGCAGTGAGCCGAGATGGCGGCAGTACAGTCCAGCCTCGGCTCGGCATCAGAGGGAGACCGTGGAGAGAGAGGGAGAGGAAGAGGGAGACCGTGGAGAGAGAGGGAGAGGGAGACCGTGGAGAGGGAGAGGGAGAGGGGGAGGGGGCTAGGTTTTTTTAAAAGGTTTATTGCTACCATGACTCTGCTTGTTTTATTTTATTTTATTTGTTGATTGTTTGTTTGTTTGTTTGTACAGGCGAGGTCTCACTGTGTTGTACAGGCTGATCTCGAACTCCTGGGCTCAAATGATCCTCTTGCCTTGGCCTGCCAAAATGCCTAGGATTACAGGTGTGAGCCACCACACCTGGCCTCTGCTTGATTTTAAATGTCTAAACATGTAATCTATCAAATTATCTTGAAACTGCTTTGGAAGATCGTATATTACTCTCCTGTCTTCAGAAGTGATGAGATTTTTAAGTTACCAGTTGCTCGTATTAAAAAAAAAGAAATCCCCAAACTAGTGGCTTAAAACAACCAAGTGGTTATTTGCTCACAATTCTATAATCTGAGCTGGGCTTAGCTGGATGGTCTGCTGGTCTTGCTGGTGTTCACTCATGTGTCTGTATTCAGTTGGGTTGGCTGGAGACTGGGTTCTTTGGGACACTGGAATGTCTGAGCTTCTCTCCCTTTCCCTGTAGTCTCAGAGCCACTCCCTTTCCAAGTGGACTCTCCACACAGTTTCTCCAGCAGAGTAGCAGGTCTTTGCTCATGGTAGCTAAGGGATCTCAAAACCACAAAAGCAGAAACTGCCAGCTCTTCGTGGCCTTACACCTGGAATTGGCACAACACCACTTCTACTATATCCTGTTAATTAAAGCAGATCACAGCCCAGCTCAAAATCAAGAGGGATAGGAGACTACACAAGGGTATAAATACTTAGAGAAATAGTTCAGTGTGGGCCACCAAATTGGTGGTCCACCACAATAATCTTAAAAATTTCAGCCAGGCACAGTGTCTCATGCCTGTAATCCTAGCACTTTGGGAGGCTGAGGTGGGTGGATAACTTGAGCTCAGGTGTTTGAGACCAGCCTGGGCAACATGGTGAGACCCAATTTCTACTAAAAAAAAAAAAAAAAAAAAAAAAAAGGCTGGGTGTGGTGGTGTACGCCTGTGGTCCCAGCCACTTGGGAGGCTGAGGTGGGAGGATCACTTGAGCTGGCAGGCGGGGTGGGGGAGTGGTGGGGAGTGGAGGTTGCAGTGAGCTGAGATCACTGCAGCCTGGGTGACTTTTATATATAGATTTGTTTTATGAAACTTGCCTGAAATCACTTACTTTAAAAATGACATAAAGTTCTACCTCTTGGGAGCTTGGTAAAAATAAAATTTCTCAAAGAAAAATTCAATGGGCACTACATCTCCAGTACCTAACAGTACTTGGCTCATAAAAGGCTCTCAATAAGCATTTGTTGAATGAATACTACTGAAGAATCTGGCTAATGCTGCACATATAAGCAGCACCACTGGAAATATAGAACAGGTTCTGAAGGCAAAGTCTGAGCAATTACTTGCAAAGTCACACCTGTGGCAACAGCCTTTGTTTGCTGCTGATATGTTGGGGCCATTTGCACATCAAGCTGGACACCATCCTACTTCTCAGAAGTCATCATCTATAATTACATCCTTCCTGAGAGTCTAAAAACACACATTAAACTAATAAATAAATTGAAGCATTTATGTTCTGTGAAAACAAAAAGGAAGTTATTTGAGGAGAGCGGTTAGTGTAGAAGGAAGCCAGGAAGTTTCATTGTTCTTGTTAGTCAGGGAAGACTTCCTGGAAGAGGTAATTTCAGGAGCCCTGAGAATGATGAGAGAAGATAGAGGTTGATTGGGGGTGTTCTGAGCAAGTGGTATGAGCTTAAATAAAACGTCAGAGACACAAGAGCAAGATGAATAACGGGAGTAGTGAATAACTTTCCAAAGAATAAAGGGCCAGTTTTGGAAGGTGTTTGACAGACTAGTTCAGGCACTTTCTGCAAAAGTAAAGGCCTTGAGTGCCTCTGCAAAGGTTGAATGTTGATGAGTCTGAGCTCTCAAAAGATGATCATTTTGGCCCCATCACTCCACTGCTTGGGCTCCCTCCTGCTCTGGCCTCCCAGTTACTTCTAGAGAGATTCCATGTGAGGCACAGAGTGAGCACGGCTGTATTTCATAGGTTCACTGGCACTGGGGTGCAGCAATACACAGTCTCAATGCCATCACACTTAAAAGTGGCTTCCTTAGAAAGAAACGAGGAAATGAGAAGGAGTCCACTTGAGTGAACCCCTCTACCTAGACCTCCCTTCCAAGTTGAGTGAAAGCCGCCCCTAAGAAGCCTGTGCTCCTTGAGGAACACCATCCGCAGGACACACTCCCTGCCAGGGAACACGTTGCCTGGGGTCTCTGGGGTCTGTCTTATGGTCTTTGTGACCATCCCTTTGTGACCAGGTGCATATACGGAGAAGTGGCTGGGAAATGGGCAGGAAGCCTGCATTATTTTCCCTGCTGCATCCACCACTACTGAGTAAGCAGCAAATTCCTGGAACTGCTTTTACTGTTTTCTGTGACTCTTATTAGGAACCACACTCATGAGTCATACAACCAGTAAGGCTTACCAAATATTTACCATGAGCAGAATCCTAAGCCAGGTCCCGAGAGGGCGCACATAAAGTCAAAACTGAAAGGAAGTCCCCAAAGTTATCTGATCCAGCTTCCTGCTTTCAGGTAGGTGAATGTCAATAAAGTGAGCTAGTTGTTAGAAGAAATATGCCTTGCGCTCAACCTCTCAGAAGGCTCAGGGGATGCCCCAAAGTGGCAAAACAATTGGAGAATGAGACTCACCTGCCAAGAGGAAAGACACTGAATTGATTCACCCCTGAGGAGAGCAGGTTAAGGTGTGGTAGTTTAGTTCTGCAGGAAAATCATAGGCAGAGCTCGAGGCCAACACTTCTCTGCCTCTGTTGGGGAAAGAACAAGAGGAAATGGGTTTGAAGAACAACATGTAGGACCAAAAATAAACGCAAAGAACTGCCGATCATCCGTGTTGTTAAGTCCTGGAACGCTGAAAGCAGTGCAGAGTCCTTCGTTAAAAGAAAAACAAAAACCAAACCTCAGGTATAATCTTGCCTAGACGCAAACCAAAAAAAGATCTAGGACAATCTCTCTAAGATCTATGTTATCAGCAGTTGCCTCTGGGTAAAGGGATTATTGGTGGTAACAATAACTGAATTATTTTCACTATGTATTAATTAAATATATAATTTATTATTAATGATCAATAATTATTGCTGTTTTCTGAATTTTTAAATTTTCTGTGGTGTCCCTTTTTATAATGAGAATCTTCATTTTTAGGAATCTCTTCTAGTCTTCTGTGACTTAAAAATTTATGATTCAATTTTTAATAAAGTCTGGAATCGCCTGGTATATAAAATTGTATCCATGCAAAATATAAAAATTCATGGCTACTTTTATATATAGATATGTTGTATGAAACTTGCCTGAAATCACTTACTTTAAAAAATGACATAACATTCTAGCTCTTGGGAACTTTGTAAATAATAATAATAATAATAAAATAATAATGATATAAAGGTGTATTTAGACTTAGTCTTTGTAAATCCCTTTATATTATGCAGACCACTGAAACTATCAGCTAACAATAATTACTCCAAAATCTGCCATCGGCTAACTAGCTTGAAGATACAAAAGTTCAAAATTCGGTGGAGTGTTGCCCACTTTGACTCACAATAAAAGTCAGACTTTTTTTTTTGAGACGGAGTTTTGCTCTCGTTGCCCAGGCTGGAGTACAATAGTGTGATCTCGGCTCACCGCAACCTCTGCCTCCCGGGTTCAAGTGATTCTCCTGCCTCAGCCTCCCAAGTAGCTGGGATTACAGGCATGCGCCACCACGCCCGGCTAATTTTGTATTTTTAGTAGAAACGGGGTTTGTCCATGTTGGTCGGGCTGGTCTCAAACTCCCGACCTCAGGTGATCCGCCTGCCTCGGCCTCCCCAAAGTGCTGGGATTACAGGCATGAGCCACTGCACCTGGCCAAAAGTCAGACTTTTAAAATAGATTTTTTGAAATGCTCAACACCACTAATCATCAGAGAGATGCAAATCAAAACCATAATGAGATACCATCTCATACCAGTAAGGATGGCTGTTATTAAAGTAAAAAAAAAAAAACCAGATGTTAGTGAGGTTTCATGGAAAAGGGAATGCTTATACACTGTTGCTGGGAATGCAAATTAGTACAGTTCCCGTGGAAAGCAGTTTGGAGATTTCTCAAAAAACTAAAAGTAGAATTACCATTCAACTCAGCAATCCATTACTGGGAATATACCCAAAGGAAAATAAATCATTCTATCAGAAAGATACCTGTATTCATATGTTTATCACAGCACTATTCACAACAGCAAAGACATGGAATCAACCTAAGTGCCCATTAATGGTGGATTGGATAAAGAAAATGTGGTACATATACACCACGGATTACTATACAGCCATGAAAAAGAATGAAATCACATCCTTTACAGCAACATGGATGCAACTGGAGGCCTTTATCCTAAGCAATTTAATGCAGAAACCGAAAATCAAATGAACTATCATGTTCTTACTTATAAGTGGGAGATGAACATTGGGTACACTTGGACACAAATATGGGAACAATAAACCCTGGGGATTCCAAAAGGAGTAGGGGAGGGAGGGGAAATGGGTTGAAAAACTACCTATCATGTACTATGTTCACTACTTGGGGGATGGGATTCTTAGAAACCCAAACCTCAGCATCATATAATTTACTCATGTACCAAACCTGCAAACATATCCCTTGGATCTAAAATAAATAAATACACAAGTAAAATACATTTTGTCGGTTGTTTTGCTACTGGTAGTTCATCTCCCACATCTAACTGACATGTATGTGGAAATCACTTCATAGCATGAGTTTATCAGCATTCTGAATAATTTATTCCTCCAATCTATCATATTAGTAATATTTCTGCTGAACAAGTTGGCAGTTTATCCAATACACCACTTTTGGTGGATATAGTCATTTGAGATGGAATTTTAACAATGTTCACTACGTGAGTTAGAATATTAATAAAAGAGGCCAGGCACAGTGGCTCACGCCTGTAATCCCAGCACTTTGGGAGGCTGAGGCAGGCAGATCACCTGAGGTTATCAGAAGTTCGACACCAGCCTGGTCAACATGGCGAAACCCCGTCTCTACTAAAAATACAAAAACTAGCAGGGCGTGGTGGTACACACCTGTAATCCCAGCTACTCAGGAGGCTGAGGCAGGAGAATCACTTGAACCTGGAAGGCGGAGGTTGCAGTGAGCTGAGATCGCACCACTGCACTCCAGCCTGGGCAACAGAGTGAGATTCCATCTAAAAAAAAAGACTATTAATAAAGGAAAGGCACTTCACCTACAAGTCAATAAAATAGATGTAAAGAAACAATAAGACACTTCTGCTCTGAATCACTGAGACCACCCAGTGGTTTCCCAGCTGTGTGCATTATGATACCAAACCATGCAGTCATTATATGACAGACGTTCTATAATCTGTTGTTAAGAGGAAGAAGGCAATCACTTCCAGTTGGAATGATCAAGAAAGTCTCCATAGAGGGAGCATTTGAGCCACATTTAAAGCGTAAATAGGATTTTGGTTGACAGCACTGTATTCAAAGAAAATGACATGGCCAAAATCGTGGAGGGAGGAACAAGCTAAGCTGGGAAATAGGGAGGCATTGACACAGCTGGATTAGGTAAATTTAAAGTGTGCCATATACGACTTAAAAGTCAGCCTAAAGTTTTGGATTATATTTGTCACAATATGGGGAATAATTGAAGGGTTTTGACCTAAGTGTGTGTCTAATTGTTTGTGGCACTGTCCCAGGTAGAGATACACAAGGAGAATTACCCATCTCTATTCAGATCCATTGGCAGAGGTCACTACATATGTAAAAACAAGACCAAAACCAAAACAAAAACAGGAAAAAACAAGGAAAAATAAAGCAATAAATTTGAATAATTATTAGGTTGGTATAAAGTAATTGTGGCTTTTGCCATTACTTTTATGGCAAAAAACCGCAATTACTTTTGCACCAACCTCATAAGCTATATCATTGGTAAAGTATCAATGATATATTTTTAAAAGTACAATTAGGGATAAAAACATAATTTGATAACCAATCTCACTAGAACTCAAGGAAATGCAAATTAAGATCACAATAAGATAACATTTTACACCTCCTAGATGGGCAAAAATTAAGAAATCTGACAATGGTTGATAGAACCACTAGACAAAAAAATCAGCAAGTCTATAGATCTCAGCAACATCATCAACAAACAGGATCAAATCTATATTTATAGAACACTCCACCCAATGACAGAAGAATATACATTCATTACAAGTACCCATGAAATGTATACCAAAATAGACTATATCCTGGGCCATAAGACAAACCTCAATAAATTAAAAGAATTAGAATCATACTGAGTGTATTCTCTGACCACAGTGGAATGAAACTAGAAATCAATAACAGAAAGGTAAGAGGACAACAAGATAACACTCTTCTAAATAATCCATGGGTCAAATAGGAAGTTTCAAAAGAAACTTTTTATAAAATGCCTTGAACTAAATGGAAATGAAAGCACAATATATCAAAATTTGTGCTACAGCAGTGCCAAGAGGGAAATTTATAGCACGAAATGTTTCAAAACTTTCACCACAAGAACCTAAAAAAGAAGAGCAAAATAAGCCCAAAGCAAGCAGAAATAAGAAAATAATATTAAGAGCAGAAATCAATGACGCTGGTAAAAAAAATAATAATAATAAAGCAAACCACTGAAACAAAAAGCTGATTCTTTGAAAAGATCAATGAAATTGATACACCTCTAGCAAGACCAACAAGGAAAAAAAGAGAGAAGACAAAGGACACTAATATCAAAAATGAAACAGGGACTATCACTAGAGAACTTGCAGATAACAAAAGGATAATAAAAGAATACTAAGGACAATGAAACACACATAGATTTGACACCTTAGATCAAATGGACCAATTCCTTGAAAAACACAAACCATCACAACTCACCCAATATGAAATAATTTTAATAGTCCTATTACAGCTAAGGGATTTGAGCAATATAAAGAATTCAGCAGTGTATATATATAAATTCGCTAGGTGCAGTGGCTCACACCTGTAATCCCAGCACTTTGGGAGGCCGAGGTGGGTGGATCACCTGAGGTTGGGAGCTCGAGACCAGCCTGACCAACACAGAGAAATCCCATCTCTACCAAAAAAAAAAAAAAAATACAAAATTAGCCAGGCTTGGTGGCGCATGCCTGTAATCCCAGCTACTCGGGAGGCTGAGGCAGGAGAATCGCTTGAACTTGGGAGGTGGAGGTTGCAGTGAGCCGAGATCGCGCCATTGTACTCCAGCCTGGGCAACAAGAGCGAAACTCTGTCTCAAAACAAAAAAGAAAAAAAATTTATAACTAAGCAGAGTGTATTCCAGGAATGGAAGTCTGGTTAAATTTTTGAAAATCAATGTAATCTACCATATTAATAGTCTAGAGAGGAAAAATCACATGATCATATCAATTGATACAGAAAAAGCATTTGAAAACAAAATCAACAATGATTCATGATAAAAATTCCCAGAAAAAGTAGGAATGGAGGGGAACTTCCTCAATTTGATAAAGGACAGCTACAAAAACCCCACAGCTAGTATTATTATACTTAATGATAACAGATGGAATGCTTTCTCCTCTAAGATCTGGAACGAGGCAAAAATGTCCACTCTCAGAAGTTTATTCAACATAGTGCTGGAAATTCTAGTTGGTGAAATAAGGAAAGAAAATAAAAGAAAAACTGTATAGATCAGAAAGGAAGAAATGAAACTGTCCTATTTGCAGATGACATGATTGTCTACACAGAAAATCCCAAGGAATGCACCAAAAACTCCTAGAACTTACAAATGAGTTTAGCAAGGTCACAGGATATAAGATACACCTACAAAAATCAGTTGTATCTCTCTATACTAGCAATGAACATGTGGACACATAAATAAAAATACAATACCATTTGCAATCACTCAACAAAAAGTGGTTGAGTGTAAACCTAACAAAACATGTATAGGACTTATTTGCTGAAAGCTACAAAACATTGATGAAGGATGTCAAACATATAAATAAAGAAGAGACACAACATGTCCATGGATGGAAGACTCAATCTGGCCAATTCGCTCCAGATTTATACACATATTTAATGTAATTTCTATCAAAATCCCAGTAAGTAAGTAAAATCCCAAAATACATATACACAAGATTATTTTAAAATGTATATGGAAAGGCAAAGGAATTAGAATAGCTAAACCAATCTTGAAAAAGAAGAAAGTAGAGAGACTCAGTCTATCCAATTTCAAGACTTATTATATAGCTATAGTGAAGACTGTGGGATATTGGCAGAGAGGTAGACACACAGATCAAGACCACACAGAATAGAGAACCCAGAAGTAGACTCACACAAATATGGCCAGCTGAGTTCTGTCAATGGTGCAAAAGCAATTCAAGGAGGAAAGATAAGTCTTTTCAACAAATGGTACTGGAACAATTGAGCATCCATGGGTAAAAGAAACAAACAACCAGCCAGGTTTGGTGGCTCATGCCTGTAATCCCAGCACCTTGGGAGACTGAGGCAGTAGATCCCTTGAGGCTAGGAGTTCAAGACCAGCCTGGCCAAAATGGCAAAACCCCGTCTCTACTAAAAAAACAAAAATTAGCCATGTGTGGTGGTGCATGCCTGTAATCCCAGCTATGTGGGAGGCTGAGGCATGAGAATTGCTTGAACCCGAGAGGCGGAGGTTGCAGTTTGAGCCTAAATCGGACCACTGCACTCCAGCCTGGGCAACAGAGTGAGACCCTGTCTCAAAAAAAAAAAAAAAAAAAAAGTAAGGAACATCCACCTAAGTCTCACGCTTTATGGAAAAATTAACATGGGTCACACACTTAAATATCAAATATATAACTGAAGCATTTAGAAAAACTAGGAGAAAATCTTCAGGATCTAGGGCTAAGCAAAGAGTTCTTAAACTTGACACCAAAAGCATCATTCATTTTTAAAAATGGATAAATTGGATTCGTTAAAATTAAAGATTTTGCCTTTTGAAAGATGTTGTTAAAAGGATGAAAAGACAAGCTATAAAGTGGGAGAAAATATTTGCAAACCGTGTATCTGACAAAAGATTAGTATCTTGAATATATAAATAACTCTTGGCTAGGCATGGTGGCTCATGCCTGTAATCCCAACACTTTGGGAGGCCAAGGCAGGAGGATTATTTGAACCCAGGAGTTCAAGACTGGGCAACATAAAGAGACTGTATCTCTACAAAAAGTAAAAAACAAAACAAAACAAAACAAAATTAGCCAGGAGTGGTGGCACACAGCTATAGTCCTTGCTACTTGGGAAGCCGAGGTGGGAGGATCACATAAGCCCAGGAGATTGAGGCTACAGCAAGCCGTGATTGCACCACTGCAATCCAGCCTGGGCAAAAGAATGAGACTTTGAAAAAAAACAAAAAAGCCTCTCAGAACTCTGAACTGCAAAACAGCAAGCAACATAATTATAAAATGCACAAAAGACATAAACATTTCATGAAACGGCATATATGGATGACAAATAAACACCTGAAAAGATGTTCAACATTAATAGTCAATAGGAAAATGCAATTTAGAACCATAATAAGATATCATTACACACCTATCAGAATGAATAAAATAAAAAATCATGACAATATCAAATGCTGGAGAGCATGCAGGGAAATTGTATCACTCACATATTGCTGGTGGGAATTAAAAATATACCTCCACTCTGGAAAACACATTGGCAGTTTCTTAGAAAACTAAATGTTCAACTACCAAGTGTCCCAGCAATTGCACTCTTGGGCATTTATCCCAAAGAAATGAAGACTTATGTTTACACAAAACTCTGTACCCAATTTTTTTTTGAGACAGAGTCTCACCGTGTTGCCCAGGCTGAAGTGCAGTGGTATGATCATGGCTCACTGAAACCTCCACCTCCTAGGATCAAGCAATCCTTCTGCCTCAGCCTCCTGAGTAGCTGGGTCTACAGACATGCACCACCGTGCGTGGCTAATTTATCTATTTATTTATTAGAGACAAGGTCTCACTATATTGCCCAGGCTGGTCTAGAGCTCCTGAGCTGATGAAATCTTCCTGCCTTGGCCTCCCAGAGTGCTGGCACTTACAAGCATGAGCCACCATGCCCAGATACACAAATGTTTATAGCAGTTTTATTTGTAATAGCCAAGAACTAGAAAACAGCCCAGATGTCCTTGACAAGGTTAAACACACTGTGGTACATCCCTGCCGTATATGGAATACTACTCAGCAACAAAAAAGGAGCAAACTATTGATACAGGCAACAACTTCCATGAAATCCTCAGAGAATTGTGAAGAAAAGCCAATCTCAAAAGGTTATGTGCTGTAGGATTACATTTATATAATGTTCTTGAAATGACCAAATTACAGAAATGGAGAACAGATTTGTGGTCACCAGGGGTAAAGGAGCGGGTGGGCAAAGCATGAGCAAGAAGTGGTTGCGACTAAGAAAGGGCAACAGGAGAGATCCTCGTGGTGATGGAAACGTTTTGTGTCTTGGCTGTATCAATGTAAATATCCTTTCTGATTGTCATATCATACAGAACATAGGTTTGCAAGATTTTACCATTGGGGGAAACTGAGTATAGGGCACATGGGATTTCACTGCAAGAGAGTCTACAAATATGTCAAAATAAAAAAGTTTAATTTTTAAAATGTGACAAAACTATAAACACAAAATTTAGGATAGACAGATGGGGGAGAAAGGGGCTGGAATAGTGAAGAGAACAGAGGTAAATAAAAGGGATTGTCAGTGTTCTGGTTCTTGGATTAGGTGATGAGTTTAGAGATGTCTGTTATATTATTAACAAACAAATGAGTAATAAATAAACACAAGAAGTATATTCATGAAACAACAATGTCAGAGTAGCAGGAACCAAGGATAAAGGTTAATCCAATTTTGCCTACGTGAGGTCTATTGGAGGGAAATAACAAACTGGCTCTGCTTTTTTGAAAAGAAGACTGAGATGCTAATTTTTTTTTTTTTCCTGAGACAGTCTCTGTTGCCCAGGCTGGAGTGCAGTGGCATGATCATTTCCTCCAACTCCTGGGCTCAAGCAATCTCCTGCCTCAGCCTCCCAAGTAGCTGAGATTACAGGTGTGTGCCATTTTTCATAGAGATGGGGTCTCACCATGTTGCACGGCTGATCACAAACCACTGGGCTCAAGCAATCCTCCTGCCTGAGCCCCTAAAAGTGCTGGGATTACAAGCGTGAACCACTGGCCTAAGGCTCTTTCTGCCCTAAACTATCAAAGAGCATGGGCTATTGTTAAGAAAGAAAAGAGATTTCTTGAAACAGCCCCAGGCATCCACTTTGAGTGTTAGGGGAACTACCAAAGTTGTTAGTGTCTTTCTAAGGAAATCCACTGCTGTCAGTAGAAGTCATTTGTGGTTTATTCATTCAGCAGATGTGTGACCAGGATTGTGAGCACAGCTCTGTGCCAGGCACAAGAAGTTGGAAATGGATCCAAGAAAATGCAAATCAGTTGTAGGTGGTAGTAGGTCCTACAGGAAATGAGTGAAATTATTTTTTTAAGTACGTCACAAATGGCACATATCTTATTCATGGTTTAAAACAGGATAATGAGCAATCTCTTCAGATACTACACTACTAGAATTCCTATGGTGTGGCATCATTTAGGGCTTCAGTAGAAACCAGCATTACATGATTTTAGCAAAAACACATTTTTGCTAGGCGCCTCTCCCTTAGAAACAAAATTGGGGAAAATAAGAAAAAATAAGTTATTGTTGGTTGTGGTGGCTCACGCCTGTAATCTCAGCACTTTGGGAGGCCAAGGTGGGTGGATCTCTTGAGGCCAGGAGTTAGAGACCAGCCTGGCCAACATGGCAAAACCCCGTCTCTACCAAAAATACAAAAATTAGCCGGGAGTGGTGGCGCACCCCTGTAATCCCAGCTACTCACGAGGCTGAGGTACAAGAATCGATTGAACCTGGGAGGCGGAGGCTGCAGTGAGCAAAGATCCCACCACTGCACTCTAGCCTGGGCAACAGAGCAAGACTCTGTCTCAAAAATAATGGTAATAATACTTTCTTAATTTTTGAATGAAGTATGCCACCATGATGCACGTAGAAGTCATTAAACATTCTCATGTGTACTTTGATAGTATGTGCTGGACCTCTTTTTGGGGTAACTCTTCTATCTAATCCAAATGTCACTTGCTGCAACATGACTATTTATTCATTATTGACCAATTAAAATTGTATTAAGTGCATGCTCTGCCTGAGTTTGAATCCCAGCCCAGTCACTTCTCTGGGTAACGTGGGCAAGTTTCTTCAATTGTCTGCGCTTCAATGCATCATTTCTAGTGCTGGTTATTACTACAGCTAGCACTGAGTTGGGAGGGGCCAGCATAATGAAGACATTGCCTTTGTCCTCATATGGTTTGTAATCTAGGAGGAGGAGACAGATTTGTAAATGAGGAGTATGTATATACATATTATAAAATCTGGAAGGATACACACAAAATTAATGACCAGAATTGAAAGTGATGATCATAGCTGGGCACGATGGCTCACCCCTGTAATCCCAGCACTTTGGGAGGCCGAGGCAGGCGGATCCCTTGAGACTAGGAGTTCGAGACCAGCCTGGCCAACATGGTGAAACCCTGTATCTACTAAAAATACAAAAATTTAGCCAGGTGTGGTGGCGGGCGCCTGTAGTCCCAGCTACTCAGGAGTCTGAGGCACAAGAATCGCTTGAACCCGGGAGGCAGAGGTTGCAGTGAGCTGAGATTATACCACTACACTCCAGCCTGGGCAACAGAAGGAGGCTCCATCTCAGGAAAGAAAAAAAAAGTGCTGATCACTTTCAATTTATCTGTAATGGTTAAATTCCATTTTATTCTGGGAATGCATTCATATATTTCTTTTAAAAAATGTTTTTCTGTACTTGCTTCCTTCACATATATTTCTTATTAAATAAAAACAAAATTTAAAAAACTTTATAACAAAGTAGAGTAGTGGAAAAAAGAAATATGTGGTTAATTCTACCTGATTGTCAAGGAAAGGCTTTCTGGAGGGAGAGATGTTGAAGCTACTTCTTGAAAGAGGAGTACGTGTTCATGAAGCCGACTGAGTTAGGGGTCGGGAAGGGATAAGCGTGGAGAAAAGAAGAGGGACCGAGAAAGACAAAAGCCATAGAGAGTAGAGACATCCTGGCATGGTCTAGAGGTTCCTAAGCAGTCCTTCTATTTCATGAGCATGAGGGTGAGGCGAGTCGGGGAAGGGAAAGTCAGAGCAGCCTCTAGAGAAAGCCTTGGAGGCCAAGCAGAGCCGCTGGGCTACATCCTGGCAGGATTTTAAATACTGGAGTCACATGACAAATTTGCAGGTCAGATGGGCCGGAGGCCCTTGAGAGCAGAAGGAAGGCCTGTCACAGGGCTGTTGCTGTGGCCCAGATGAAAGGAGGAAGGAAGGGAGGAAGGAGATGAAAGGAAGAGGAATAGAGATGTTGCGAAGACAGAAGTGAAGATGGACTCACTGTGAAGCTACTAACGTTTAAGCTTCAGCCCATCCACTTCCCAGGCCCTGGGAGGTGACACAGTACTGTGTTCACCTAGACAAATTTTATTTTGCAAAATTTGCAAAAGAAAGATATTTCGACTTCAATGAATTAAGATTGCTGTCTCTTTCCACTCCAGCCTTCCCTTTGACATATATTCTTTCAGGGCAGGTGGCATGGGTGGCCATGGGCATTTTTGAGAGAGAGAAGGGGAGTTGGATGAGTTTGCAGTGAGTTTGGGTTTCACTTGGGAGTAGAGTTGCTATTGCTAGGATACTGGTGAAAGCGAAGCTTCCAGGATACATACTCCTAACACACACCAAGCCAACTTACCTGGCATGGAGATGCCGAGGTGCAGGGCCAGAGGTGATTGGATATGAACATGTCCTACAGTGCCAAAAACAGAAGTAAGTGGGCAGTGGAGGTTTGAAATATATGCAGTGGAAGCTAGCTGGTGGCAGAGGCTTCCAATCATTAGATAAGTAAACATGTAGGATTCTGTTTGTTTTTTTTTTTTTTTGGAGACATGTGGTCTCACTTTGTGGCCCAGGCTGGTCTCTGAACTCCTGGGCTCAAGCAATCCTCCTGCCTCAGCCTCCCAAAGTGTTGAGATTATAGGCGTGAGCCACTGTGACTGGCCTGTATATACTCTTTGATGGGAATCATAGAAAATAGAACTGATTGGAATTCCTGAATTTTGGTGAGTGATCAGCAACTATACCTCTGGGTAGAATCAATCACATGATTTATGTAATCTCAAATATCAAAAATATAATTTTAATCAATTACAAGAGTGAGTTATCTTTCTATTATCTCTATAAAAATAACTTTCAAAAGCATTGTTATATGAAGAGGTGGTCAAAAAGCTTGCAGCCAAAAACAGACACAGTAGAGTGTGTTAGCCATTAATGAAAATAAGTATGCAATCTTCTGGAATTTTATATTTGCAATATTTTGTTAAGATTTATTTTCTCATTCTACTTAACATTTAACTTGAATATCTAGATTTGAATGATTTTTCTTAAAGAGGCGGCTCCTAGTAGTATCAGCTTTAGGCCCCACAAAACCTGGCTCAGCCCCAGAGTAGGTGCTATAGCTATAGAGACTGAGTGTGGGGTCTACAGAAAATGTGGCCATGCCCTCCACCCCAGTGGCTGGGCAGCCTTTGGCACAGGTCCCTGAGATGGTGCATGAAGAGGAGCACATTTGGTTTGATAATAAACTTAATGCTGAGTATGCCGAGTCTGAGATGTCTGTGGGATATCCCAGGAGAGGCCCAGGAGAGAGGTTGGTCTCCTTGGAGACAGGGAAGGAGAGGAAGAGGAAGGGAGGGAGAGGGAGGGAGCATAAGAGGGAAGGAGAGAGACGGAGAGAGGGAGAACACCAGGACAGAGAACCAGTCACTTAAACTTCCCAGTCTCTATTCCAGAACTTTCTATGGCCCAGGTAGAGTCACTTGCTGGCATCTCACCATGAATACCTTCTTTACTCTCTTCTTCCCCGCCACCCACTTTTTTCTCCTTCAGATTTTTCTTTTTTCCTCTATCCTTTTCCATAACCAATGCAATGCATGGAAGTAAGAGGATAATAACCTGACATAATGTGATTAAGTGTTCTCCCCCAAATCACTCCCCCATTCTTTAGCAGAGGTGAGATGAACACCCGGGTTTGACTTGCTTTCTTCCTAGTCTTTCCTCTGTGAAAGTGGGAGAGAAAAGCCTGCCAGATGAGAAGTTTGGTTGGAGCAAATGTGGTGATGCATTTTGGATTAGGCTGCAGAACTAAGGTTGCCTGCCCCTTGGGGAATCCTGGGCTCCAGGGACACAGCTTCAGGGAGTCAATGTAGAACTGCCTGTGGAAGTTGGATGGGGGCGGAGGGTGGGGAGGTCCCCATCGTATATTTATCTGTTCCTGATTTCTTCTCCTTCATCAGGATTCAACAAGTGATCTGAGAAACAAGTTGAGTTCTTCTGATCTGGAAATGTAGCCCACCTAAAAATGTTACCTAATTAGGTAGTACGATTTTCACACAGTGCTGGCAGGACTCTTAATTGCAAGGCCATTTGGTAATATGTGTCCAATACCTTGCAAATACAAATATTCCTTATTCTCAGCAATTCTATTCCTAGTGATTAAACCTAACACCTGTCTGGGTGCAGTGGCTCATGCCTGTAATCCTAACACTTTGGGAGGCTGAGGAGGGTGCATTGCTTGAGGTCAGGAGTTCGAGACCAGCCTGGCCAACATGTCCAAACCCCGTCTCTACTAAATATACAAAAATTACCTGGGTATGGTAGCGCGTGCCTGTGATCTCAGCTACTCGGGAGGCTGAGGCAGGAGAATTGCTTGAACCCATGACAGTGGAGGTTGCAGTGAGCCAAAATCATGCCACTGCACACCAGCCTGGGTGAGACTCCGTTTCAAAAAAATAAATAAATCCCAGCACTTTGGCAGGCCAAGGCTGGCGGATCACAAGGTCAGGAGTTCAAGATCACCCTGGCCAATATGGTGAAACCCTGTCTCTACTAAAAATACAAAAGTTAGCCGGGCACGGTGGTGGGTGCCTGTAGTCCCAGCTACTTGGGAGGCTGAGGCAGAAGAATCACTTGAACCTGGGAGGCAGAGGTTGCAGTGAGCAGAGATTGCGCCACTGCACTCCAGCCTGGGCAACACAGCGAGACTCCATCTCAGAAAAAAAAAAAAAATCCTAAGGCCATAATCAGACAAGTGCAGACATACGTGAGTACAATGATATTAACAATCTTGTTTCATCATATGTAAAAATTAAAAACAACAGAATAGTAAGGACTTACTTAGACCATCTATGGCATATCTGCTATGGAAACTGTGCATATTTAAAATAATGGCAGGTGTATATTTATTGTCATGAAAAGATGCTCTGTAACACTAAGTGAAAAAGCAGCTCAGAGTATGATTTCTTTTCTTTTTTTTTTTGAGACGGAGTTTGGCTCTTGTTACCAGGCTGGAGTGCAATGGCATGATCTTGTCTCACCGCAACCTCCACCTCCCCAGTTCAAGCGATTCTCCTGCTTCAGCCTCCCGAGTAGCTGGGATTACAGGCATGCGCCACCATGACCAGCAAATTTTGTATTTTTAGTAGAGACGGGGTTTCTCCATGTTGGTCAGCCTGGTCTCGAACTCCTGACCTCAAGAGTCTTGAGGCCCACCTCGGCCTCCTACAGTGCTGGGATTATAGGCATGAGCCACTGTGCCTGGCCTAGAGTATGATTTCATGCATATAAGTATATATGTAGTATATACTTGCATAGAAAAAAGTGGGAACGCAATAAATGCCAAAATATTAGCAGTTATCTCTGTGTGGATGCTTGGATTATGGAGAATCTGTTTCTTCTCTATGCTTTTCAATTGATTCTAGATTGTATTATTACGGATGACCAAGTATCATAAAAATATGGACCGTTACGGCTCATATATGTAATCCCAGCACTTTGGAAGGCTGAGGTGGAAAGATCACGTGAACCCAGGAGTTTGAGACCAGGCTGAGCAACATGGCGAGACCCCGTCCCTACAGAAAATACAAAAATTAGCCACGTGTGGTGATGTGCATCTGTAGTCCCAGCTGCTCGGGAGGCTGAGGTGGGAGGATTGCTTGAGCCTAGAAAGTTGAGGCTGCAGTGAGCCCTGAGCATGCCACTGCACTCCAGCCTGGATGACAGAGCAAGACCCTGTCAAAGAAAAAAAAAAAAAAAAAAAGAAAAGAAAGAAAAAGAAAAGAAAAAAGAAAATATGGAAGGTTGTGAAGTTAGCTAGCTATTAGATGCTGCCCATCTCTACCACAATGTCACAGACTGTCGAACAGGGCTCTGAGTTAGGAAAGTAATTTTCTCATTCTAAAAAAAAAGTACAGGGCCAGGCAAGGTGGCTCATGCCTGTAATCCCAGCACTTTGGCAGGCCAAGGTGGGTGGATCACTTGAGGTCAGGAGTTCAAGAACAGCCTGGCCAACATGGTAAAACTCCGTCTCTACTTAAAAAACACACACACACACAAAATTAGCTGGGCGTGGTGGTGGGCGCCTATAATCCCAGGTACTCAGGAGGCTGAGGCAGGAGAATTGCTTAAACCCAAGAAGGTGGAGGTTGCAGTGAACTGAGATTGCGCCACTGCGCTTCAGCCTGGGCAACAGAATGAGACTCTGTCTCAAAAAAAAAAAAAAAGTACAGCAGATTACAAATTTCAAAAGCTGACTCTCAAAAAAAAAAAAAAAGTACAGCAGATTACAAATTTCAAAAGCTGACAAACACCAAAAATATTAGAAAATCAGGAAGAATACTGTTTCAATTAACTTCTCCACATACCTCTTTAATACTTTTTTCTTATACTATAGTTTTTGGCAGCATGCTTTTGTTCTCCTATTCATAAGACAATGATTCCATAATAACATTTTCTACAGACTAGAAAGATAATTCAGTCTTTCCATGTAATGGGTGAAAAATTAATGTAAAAAATATTCAGATAATTTTGTTTCAGCTTCACAACACATTCTTTATTGGTAGTGTCATATAATTTTTAAGAATTGTAGGGCCGGGCATGGTGGCTCACGCCTGTAATCCCAGCACTTTGGGAGGCCAAGGCAGGTGGATCACCTGAGGTCAGGAGTTTGAGACCAGCCTGACCAACATGAAGAATCCCCGTCTCTACTAAAAACACAAAATTAGCTGGGTGTGGTGGTACATGCCTGTAATCCCAGCTACTCAGGAGGCTGAGGCAGGAGAATCATTTGAACCCGGGAGGCGGAGGTTGTGGTGAGCCGAGATCATGACATTGCACTCCAGCCTGGGCAACAAGAGAAAACTCCGTCTCGAAAACAACAACAACAACATCAACAACAAACAAAAAGAATTGTCAGATTTGGAAAAAACCTCTATTTTTTTTATTTATGAGTTGTAACATTTCAGCGTATTTCATATTTTTCTTTTCCTGTGATTCATTTTAAATATTCTTAGAATTGATGACACTCATTAACCAATTTGTTATAAATGTCCTCATCGTGTTGGCATATTATGAGCTTGGTATTATCCTCATCAATGTCAATATTTCAGCTGAGAGCAGTAAGAATTGTAAATATTTTCCTATTGTGTTTGTATGATCCATCCTTCCTCATTATTGAATCATCAAACAACCCAAAAGCCTGCTCATTGCTTCCATTTGACATTTATCTTTTTCTCTGAATAAACTATTGCTTCTAGTATAATCTGAAATATGTTGTTACAAATTGTTTATTAATATCAGAAACATTTCTATTGATTTCAATTGCTTTTCCTTAGGTCTTTCTTACATTTCATTAATTATATATATTTTTTCTTTCAGTTCTTTAACACACACATACATTTAGAGATGAAAAAGGATGGTGCTCTTCATGTATGAACAAATGTTTCACAACACATTTCCAATAGCAGTTAAAAAGTCAAATATGCAACTCCAGATAACAAAGGAAAAAACCCCTCTGGGTTTTTCAAAATGCAATTTGTAACTGTATAAGCTGTATTGTTGCTTTCATTCCCGACAGGAGATAATTTGGTTTTGACTAGATGCAAATAAGAAATGAATCCTCTGTTTACAACTTAACACGTATGTTGATTTGAAGGATTTTCACAGACTGCTTCTGGGGCTCCCCTCCACCACCTTGATACATATATGTCTGGTGCAGGGCAGTGTAGGATATATGCATGTCTCAGTACAATAGATGTTGTCAAGTGAGTTAGCACAGTGGGCAGTCAGAATATTCTGGAGGCCATACAAAATGTGTAGCAAATATGTGACTGTATACAGGAGTTTCTGAAACCCACATACCCTACTATATTAATATATCTGGTTAAACCTTCCTTTGCTAGGTCCCTCAAATGTCCATAGCCATTGCAATACCACTAGATATGAAGAGACTGGGGGAAGCTGGGGTGAAAAGAAACAGTGGCCTTCACAGTTTATGGTTTAAATATCCCCTTTTTGCACATTTTATTAAAATATATCACCATGTGGACACATTGCTAGGGCCCCTTCTGAGCTGTCGTGACAGGGGCCTGTGTAAGTGAGGTGCCCTGAAGCTTAAGCCCTTTAACTTCCTGGCAAATTTGCCTCGGCCTTCCCACTCCCAACATCTCCCAAGCCCCTATCCCAGCTATCCTGGACTGCTGCCGTCATTTCCTGTTTCTTCCTTGCCCCTCTCAGTCTGTTCTTAACACAGCAACCAAAGCGATCTCATAAAAAACTCAAGTCAGATCACGTCATACCTCAGCCCAAAGGCTTCCAATGTTTTCCATCTCACGCGCAGTAGAAGCAAGTAGCCCAGGAGGCTCCGCAAGACCTGGCTCTTACCGCCTTTTTGACCTCATCTCTTGGCCTCCACCCCTTCCTCACTCCACTCCAGCCACATGAGCCTCCTGCAGTTTCTGGAGTGCCAGGCAGGCTTTCATAGGGCTTCTGCATTTGCTGTTGGTGCAGCCTGGACCACATCCTGCAGGTATCCAAAGGGCTCCCTCCCTCTCTCACCTCCTTCCAGAAGCCTGGCTGGACCTCCCTATTCAAAAGTGCACCTCTCCCCACACCTAGTCCCTATTCCCTGCTTTGTATTCTGCCATAAAATGTACCACCCTCTGACACACTACTAAATTTTGTTTATTGTCTGCCTTCCTCCGCTGAAACGAGAGCTCCGGGAGGTATGGACAGTTTTTTGTCCACTGCTGTATCCCAGTGCCTAGAACAGGGCCCCACACACAGTGGCTGACTTCTGGCAAATACAGCGGATTCTGCCTTCAGCTTTCTATTCTCCAGCCCCACCAGGAGCCCGCAGGACCACCTTCTAAGGAAGGGCAATGAGACTACAATGACTGAAAGGCCAATTTTCCTAAAAGAGAGAAGCAAAGGTGAACCAGTGACAGTGTTTGCTAGAACTGGAGTGATGCGTTTTTATAAAGGGTTGTCTTTTGTGAAGTGAATCACCAGAGGATTTGGTCACTGAGCTATAAACCTCTTGCACCTCCTACCCCCTCCCCAAAGATGTAATCCAGGGTAATTGTGGTATTAATCGGAAATTGCCAAATCATATAATTTCTCTTCCCAGTTCAAGGAAAATAATACAAATAAAAAGAAAATAAAAGGCTGAAGAAAAGGAGACATTTGAAATGCTTCTTCTTGTTTATCTTTTCTTTACTTTCATTTTTCTTTCTCCTTCTGACTAAAGAGAATAAAACAAACGAGAAGATATTACAGAAAAGCAAGGAAAAGTCTGTTATTAGAGCAAACCACTTGATCAGAGAAGTGCTGGCATTCTGGTGAGGCCAGTGAGCTTAGTGCCATACAAATATATTTATATCACTTATACATATGAAATGTTTTAAGATGCTAACATAATAAAAACCATTTTTCAACAAGTACAGGTAAAAGAAATTATAATGCCACCATTATAAGAGAAAGGCTACCATCAGGGTACGTTTTCTTCCAATCTTTTCTCATATGCATACATTCGTACATACTGTTCATGTCATATATGTACTTTTTGTATCCTGATTTTTCTCACTCTACTTCAGATCAAATAAACATTCCAAGTGGCAAATTTGTCTGCATGTTTGTAATTTTTTTTTTAAGAGACAGGGTATCACTCTGTTGCTCAGACTGGAACTCAGTGGTGCAATCATGGCTCACTGCAGCCTTGCACTCCTAGGCTCAAATGATCCTCCCACTTCAGCCTCTAGAGTAGCTGGGACTACAGGTGAGAGCCACTGCATCCAGCCTGCATGCTTGTAATTTTAAAGATGCATAACATTCTATCCTGTGGCAATAACATATTCTGTTTAGCCATTCAACTATAATCGGACATTTATGTTGCTTACATTTTTCACTCTTAAAATGTTATTATGAACTTCTAGTGCATATAGTATTTTTCTCCCTAGTATTTTCAATGATGTTTCTAGGATGATTTTCTAGCAGTAGGAAAATTGAGTCAAAAGTGATGACTCTTTTATGGTTCTTGAAAGTGACAGTAAAACTGCTTTCCAGCAGGTTTGTGCCAATTTACAATGAAGCCAGTGAAACATGTGAGTACCAATTTCACCATACTCTCCCCAGCATTTGATATTACTTTTTATTTTGCTAACTTAAAAAGGGTTCTTATTTTAATATATATTTTCCTATACCTATTTTCCTTGATTATTTCTTCTGCTGGGAAATGCCATTTCATATCCCTTCTGCAATTTACCTTTGCGGGTTGTCTCAATATTCTTCTTCTTCTTTTTCGTGGGCTGTATATTAACCCTTTCTCATATGCACTGTATTTATCCAATCTGTTTGTTTTACATTCCTGGTTATACTGTCATCTAAAACAATTTAGCCCTTTTATATAGTTCAGATCTTATCAAGTCAATTTCTCCTATTACATGTATTCTTATAAGATCCTTTCCTTATCTTATCTCCACAACTTTATTTTATTTATTTGAGATAAGGTCTTGCTCTGTTGCCCTGGAGGCTGGAGTGCAGTGGTGCAATCATAGCTCATTGCAGCCTCAAACTCCTGAGCTTAAGTGATCCTCCTGCCTCAGCGTCCTGAGTAGCTGGGACTACAGGTGTGCACCACCACACTCAGCTAGTTGATTTCTTTTAATTTTTGGTAGAGTTGGGGGTCTCACTATGTTGCCTATGCTTCCATGACTTAAATAAGAATTTAATTCTGCTTTAGCTCTCTGATTTTCATTTCTGTATCTAGCTATTTAATCCATTCATTTTGATGTATGATCTTTACATCAAATTGATCTCTGCCCTAAATGCTACCTAGTTAACCAAGACTAAATGTATTTGAAGAAACCCTTGCGTAACACAAGACAGTAGACTATGCCTATATAAAGAGTTCGTGTGTGCTGGGACATGGTTTCAGGCTCCCTGGGGAGAGACAGGGAAGCAGCAGCCCCAAAGGACTTAAAATGTGATGTGGTTCAGTGAGAAAAGTGGGCATGACCAGAATAAAGTGTAGGAGTGCACGGGAATGTTCCCGAGGTGTTTCTACCTTGCCTTTTCTGTGCATAAAAAACACTGGGGAATGAAATCACTTCTGAAAATGATAACCCCTTGACCCAGATGTTTTCCTAGCTCGTTAGAGCCCTTTTAGTGCTTCAGGAATGAGAGCTTTCAGCTGACCTAGTGCAATACATATACTGAGCACCTGTTGAGTGTATGTAGCGTGCTATGCTAGGCACCTTGTGTGGGTACCTTGTGGGATGCAAAATAGTCCTGGGGCAACCACCAGTTAAGCTGAGTGATGAAATAACGGAGAGGAAAAGATTAATCCGGGCAGATAACCCAGCGTAGCGCTGGCTCTGCTGCGCAGCCTTGCTGCTGTGGAGTGTGGCGCTGCAACTCTAAAGGGCTGCGTCCACCCTCCGTCTTCCTCCCCGCCTCTCAGTTGGCCGAAGCTTCTGATCACACAGACAAGAATCTCCGCTCGCTTTCCCGCTGGCCTCCAGGCAGCCAAGTTCACTCAAGCTCTCTCAAAGCTTTTGCAAGAGTGGGTCTTAAATCCTGGCGGGGGGCACGTGCACTCATTTAAGACTTAAAAAGGAATCGGAAATGACTGTCCCCATGCCCACTGCTGCCCACAAACCTGAAGACCCAAGCGACCACACTTGGTAGGCACTTCTGCCCTTCTGGTCTGGTTCCCACCCGCCCATCCCGAATCGCGGTTATCTTTCCCGGTGCTCACAGCATGCAGACCACAGCCTGTGGCCGCTAGTGTTTCCTTCGCTAGGACCACGGGTAATTGTCTTGGCTTCGCATCTTTTGACTGGCAGGCAGGTGGACAGGGACTTGCCCTACCTCAACCCGGTCCCCAGCTTGGCACGAGCAGATAAATCTTGAAAAAGAAAAATGATCTGGGCCGTTTAACCGTGGCATGGCGGGTCCAGATCCCCAAACCTGTCACTAGTGACGTCCCACGTGGCAGATTCGCTCTCAGGGAAGCCCGTCACCGTTTTTGTCCGGGACATCCTCCCCATGCCCACCCTCCGCTCCGGGAATTCACCCTCGGGGCCGCCCCGCCTCGTTCCCTCCCACAGCCCGGCGGACCCGAGACGGGAAGGGCAGGCACTCCCTGCAGAGTCCCTGGGGCGCCCGTGGCTCGGGGTGCGCGGTGGGACTCGGTGAAGCCGGCGTCTTCACCCCAGAGCCGCGGCTTCGGGGCCGCTGGAGGAGCGAGAGTGGCGCCCGGATGACTGATCGCCGCGGAGAAAGTCCCCCGGGACTGTGACCCCCGCGCCGGGGGGCGGACGCAGGGCGTGGCTGAGGCGCAGGAAGATGCCGCGATGGGACCGGGAAAAAACACCGACCCCAAAACACCCACTGTGTTTCTCAACCTGAGTTCCCCGGCAGCCGCCGAAGGACCCCAAAGGCTGCATGGCGCCCCCCTGGTCCCCACCCCCCCGGGCGTCGCCTCGCGTGGGTGGGCTTCGCGTTCCCTCCGGGGTTTCAGAGCCACCACGTGACTTCCACGAAGCGCGGGGCGCCGGCGGAAAGCCGCGGCAGGGGTGGGATTTGGGACCCCGAGGTGCGGAGAGAGGGCGGGCAGAGGAGGAAACGAGGCGGGGGTGGGAGAAGGAGGGCGGGGCAGACGTGGGACGGGAAGGACGGCTGCCGGGACTGGCGCGCGGGGACACTGGGCCGACGCGTGGAGTAGCGGGGAGAGCGGGAAGCCTGAGGGGGCGGGGCCGGCGCGAGGCCGTGGGTGCGGCACGAGGATGCCGGCGGCGGGACAGCGCCCGTAGGCAGCCCCACGGGCAGGGCGCGCGGGCGGGGCGGGGCGGGCCGGGCCAGAGGAGCGCCCGGCATGTCGCAAGGGCTCCCGGCCGCCGGCAGCGTCCTGCAGAGGAGCGTCGCGGCGCCCGGGAACCAGCCGCAGCCGCAGCCGCAGCAGCAGGTAGAGGGCGAGAGGCTCAGGGAGGGCCGTGGGGTGCGGGGACCGGCGCGCCGCGGGGGGCGAGGAGGTGGGTGCTGGAGTTCCGTGGTGGTGACTGCGGAGGTGCAGAGGTGGCGGGTGCGGCCGGAGACAAGCAGAGGTAGGGGCGTAGGGATGTTGGGGAATGGGGGCGATCCAGGGACCCTGTCGTGCGCACAGTGTCCGCGGCTCCTGGAATGGCTCCTGAGCCAGCTCCTGCGCCCTCTGGGGGAAGAAGCCCGAGGGCGCCGACGCCTGGCTGGGCCGGGCATGGCCGGTGCTCCCCGGCACGTGGGCTCCGCACTGCCCTGAGGGCCGCCCCATCCTGGCGCAGCCAGCGACTGCCACCCCACCACCCGCGCCTGTAGCCCCTCCAGGATTCCCCCGGGTGGGGGGGGTGCTGCCGCGGGAATGGAGAACGCCGGACTAGTCAGCCTGGGCGGAGGGAACCCACAAAGGGCCGACTCCGCCCCCAGCTGGTGGAAACCCTTTGCCCCTTCCCAGTTCGCTGTCCCCTAGCAACGTTTACAGCGGCGCAGTCAGGAAGGAGACCAGGTTGGCCACAGGGACGGCCGTCTGGAAACTTTGCCTGGGTCTTGGCCACCTGCCTTACGACGAAGACTGGGTCTTTTCATCCTTACTCCCCACCTTCCCAATTCAGCGCCCGGCCCATGTCATCAGGTGTCGCTGGAGTGTCACAGAGATCTGAGTTTGGGCCTGGGCTTTGCCACACACAGGCTGAGCAGCCTTGAGCAATTTGTTTAACCTCTCGGACCGTCCATTTCCCCATCTGTAAAATGAATATAGTAACATCAACCTCTCAGGATTTTTGAGACTGAATCAGATATGGTTAATAACATAATACTATCTCTAACTTTCGCTCACCTCTTTCTGTCTTGATTAAATGTTTCTGCTGGGTTGGCAGGTGTGATCATGGTGATGAGTCCAGTTTAGAGTCAGCTCCCCGAGGGCAGTATGCAGGCTGCTTTCTTGTGCTAGTGACTTTTTGATTACAGAGAGCAAAGAGGCATGAGAAGCACTATGCAGAATACATTTTTTTTTAAAGTAGCAACTTCAACAAAGGCAGGTAACTTCTTGAGGGCATACTGTATGCTGGGAGCTTTAGGACAAAATCTCATTTCATCGCATCCCAATCCTAAGCATTAGGCTGTTAGCACCAAGTCTGCAGAGTTCACTGACCCTTTGTTTAGGGCTTGTATCCCCAGTGTCTAGAACAGTGTCTGGCACATGGTAGGTGCTCAGTTAATACATATTGAAAGAATGAATGAATTATGCTTACAATAAATGAGAAAACTGAAAATTTAGAGAATTTAAACCATTTACACAAGACCATGTTGACACTAAGAGACAAAACTAGGATCTGTGTGATTCTAAAGCTAAAGAGCTGTCTTCTAACCACATGTTCCCCTGTAATGTTCTGGTTTTGTTTATCAAGACTTCTTTGCCTCTCTAGAAGACTGTATTATCATACTTTGTTCCCTTAAGCTTCTATTTGCTATGTATGTTATTTATTCCTCTCCTTTTTATGCCTTTATATTCTTGCATATCTGAAACTTCTTACCTGCAGTAACTTGGGAAGATGTGTGTCTTATGTGGAATACAAGATGAGATCAAATGATAACTGAAAATATCCTTTTTTGTGTTATTAATATTTGCATTCCGTGAATATTAATAACTGAGTAGTTTTCCTTGTTTGTACCTCTTGGCTCTTAAACTCTGTAAGTGTGGTATTTTTCCCGCTTGGTGGTGTCTTCTCATGGGGTTCTAGAAAGCAAATACTGCTCTCCTTTTTCATGTTTTCTATAGCTGATTGAAGTGTTTTTACCATGGTCAGTGCATTTTTCCGCCTGCCTGTTTCATGATCACTATTGAGGGATTTGACTGAATTTGGTTAAATCTTACATATAGCTAACAGCTTTCAAGACACATAAAAAATTTGCTGACTTCTGAAACAAAATGTCAGCCAAGCATTGTTCAAATGAGTACACTGTCAGTGGGGTTTAAGATCATTTGGTGTGTTGGTAGAGTTATGTGGCTGCAATTAGTTGTAAGTGTAATCATGATTTGCATGCAGTATCAAAAGTACCTTTCATGTGTGGTGGTATAAGGACTGGCAAACAGCAAGTTCCAGATAGCAGATCTCTCCACCGCCCCCCACCCCCACCCAGCTTTCCAGTCTCAGATGGACGACATTGACACCACAGCTCTTCCAGGCACACGCCCTGTGGGCTAGAGGTTTATGAACGTTGATTTGGAGACCAACAGACCTGAGTTCCACTTCCCACTCACCCACTTAGTGGCTGTAATACCTGGAGCAAGGTCCTTAACCTCTCTGAGTTTCTTATTCCTCATCTTTTAAACGGCGGTCACACCACACACTTCACACACTCACATGGTGAGTGCTCCTGGGCAAGGGGCTGTTGTGAGCCCATTGGTATAGCAACTAGTGGTGCTGTCTACTGCAAAGCAAATGATGAAGCTCAGTGAACAACGCTGAGTGATGAGACAGGGCAGAAAAGGGTAAGGCGAGGGGCCACGACATCACACCCACCCAGTGTTTTTCCCCAGAGCCCTGAGGATGATGACAGGAAGGTCCGAAGGAGAGAAAAAAACCGAGTTGCTGCTCAGAGAAGTCGGAAGAAGCAGACCCAGAAGGCTGACAAGCTCCATGAGGTGAGACCGTGGTAGGGGCAAGCCACCTTAGAGCCACACAGCCTCTGCCTTGCACGGGAGTGGGGGTGATGACTGTTCTCTTTATCACGATTTCAGCAACACTCATATCTAATTTCTGCCAGGTCCTTCCAGCCCAGTGTTCTCACTGTTTGCTCACGGACGTGTTCATTTCTCCCTCATCCACTGAGTGCTTCTCATGGTCAAGTTTATTTCATTATAAAACAAAACAGAGCCTCTTCTGGACCCTGATTCCCTTTCAAGTTCTTGCTCCATTTCTTTTCTTCCCTCACGTCCTTACTTCCTGTTTTGTTTTGTTTCCCTCCAAAGTAATCCGCTAACATCTTTGCTTCTTAAAAAAGAGTAGTTACACCTGTTGTCTCTGTGTCCCTGGTTCCTGGTTATTCCCCAATCCTCTGTGATTTAATTTCTGCTACCCCCTTTCCACTCAACACACATATATATACACACAAACAAACACACACATTCACACATGTACCCAATGTGTGTGTGTACACACACACACACACACACACACACCCTACAGAAACTGCTCCCATTGCAGCCATCAGTGCCCTGGCACTGCCCTATCCAGGACTCTCTTTCTGGTCTCATCATCCTTTACCTTGTTAGAACATTCGACACTTTGGACCCATCTCTTCTTAAAGCTTTCCCCTCTTTTGCTTCTAAAAGACCACATTTCCTAGTTTTCCTAACCCTCTTCGCCGATTTTTTTCTCTATTTCTTTGTTAGCCTTCGACCCTTTATTGGCTTAAATGTTGGTGGTGACCAGTGTTTCAAACTCTGCCCTTTTTTTTTTTTCTCACCCTGGAAGACTTAATCTATTAATCTGTTCTCCCAGCATCAGCTCCCAACATTGATTACTCCAGGCAGGCCCTCTGTCCTGGACCCTAGACCCCATAGCTTCAGTGTCTGCTGAGCTGTTTCTCCATGGGTCCACTGCAGGCTCCTGTGATGTACCACATCCATAAAAGAGTGTTATTGTCCGTTTACCCTGAGACTTTCTCTTCTCATTGTCTTCAAACTGCAGTTAATGGAGCGAACCATCTTTCTCATCACTCAAATCAGAAGCCTAGGATTTATCCTAAGCCATTCCTTTTCCCTCCGCCCTCATGCATACACCTGCATAATCCTGCAGTTGGGACGTGGAGCTGCTCCATACCAGGAACTGGCCTTGAAAGCATCCAAGGATCTATCTGAGGAATGGGCCACCATTCCATGTTCTTGTCTTTGTCGGGGTTGGTGTGTGTAATTAAAGATTTTAGTTTAGCTCTCTCCTGCTATACTTTCTTGTCTTTTTGAGACGGGATCTTGCTCTGTTGCCCAGGCTGGAGTGTGATGGCATGATCATGGCTCGCTGCAGCCTCCACCTCCCAGGCTCAAGCAATCTTCCCACCTCATCCCCTCAGCCCTTATTTTTGTAGGTTTTTTTTTTTTTTTTTTTTTTTTTTTGAGACAGAGTCTCTGTTTGCCCAGGCTGGAGTGCAGTGGCATGATCTCAGCTCACTGCAACCTCTGCCTCCTGGGTTCTAGCGATTCTCCTGCCTTAGCCTCCCGAGTAGCTGGAACTACAGGCGCCCGCCACTACACCCACCTAATTTTTCGTATTTTTAGTAGAGATGGGGTTTCACCATGTTGGCCAGGCTGGTCTCGAACTCCTCACCTCGTGATTCACCCGCCTCGGCCTCCCAAGTGTTGGGATTACAGGTGTGAGCCACTGCGCCTGGCCATTTTTGTAGTTTTGTAGAGGTGGGGTTTTGCCACGTTGCCCAGAGTAGTTTCAATCTCCTGGACTCAAGCGATCCACCTGCCTTGGCCCTGCAAAGTGTTGGAATTACAGGCATGAGGCATTGTGCCAGGTCTCCTGCCATGCTCGTCTCAGCAAGGCCATTCTGGGGCATTGGCAACATGGAAACTCTGAGGTGTGTTGGGGAGAGGAGAGGAAAAGGGCAATCTTAAAACTCTAACAATGAACAGAGAACAAATTTAGAATGTACATACTCCACAGAGAGGTGACCTTCCGATATAAATTCACAGTGTGGCATAAATCATAAATGTCAGATTCTTTCCTAGAAGTAAGAAGGCTGGGCCCTAGAAAGAGACTGAGGTCTCTAGACTAGTGTCACAGAAGGTGCCTCCTAGCCTTTGTTCTGAAGAATTTCCACAGAAGAACGGCAATGCCCTTTGCCTCCTTTCTTTCTTCCCCCTTGCTCCTGAAGCAATTGTGGTTCTAGTGTCATGTTACCAAAATAGCCCCCAGAGGGGACCTGTGGCTCCCAGTTAGTGCATGGCCCTGTATTCAGACCACATGTGCTGCTGGATGGCCAAGGCATTACTCCTGAAGAAGCTCCTAGTCCCAGCCAGGTACATTAATATTTTTAAAAACTAGTTTTAAAAACATCAGTTGTAAATCTGGACTGAATACGTATCTGGAGGACAATATCTTGGACAAGATCTTTCATGGAGCACAGTCGAGTAGATCCATTTCACAAATACCAAGGCATTGCCATTGGGTCACAAAGAGAGGAGGAAGATCTCATGCCTTGCCTGTCGGTGGGAAGCCTAGAATTTCCCAAGGAAAGGATGTTAATTTCCTACTGCTGCTGAAACAAACTCTCACACATTTGGTGGCTTAAAACAACACAAATTTACTATCTTCCAGCTTTGGCAGTCACACATCAGAAGTGGGTCATATTGGGTCAAAATGAAGATGGCAGCAGGGCTGCCTTCCTTCTGGAGGTTCTGGAGAAGATTCGTTTTCTTGCTTTTCCCAGCTTCCAGAGGCTTCAGTGTTCCTGGGCTTGTAGTCTCCTTGAGCCAGCAATGGCCGGTTGCGTTTTTCTCAGGCTGCGTTACTCTGGTGCTGTTTCCGTTGTCACATCTTCTCTGACTCCCCGACACCCTCTTTCACTTACAAGGACCCTTATGATTGCGTTGGGTCTGCCTGGATAATCCAGGATAGTCTCCCCATCTCACGCTTCTTAATCACATCCGCATAGTCCCTTTTGCTATGTAAGGTGACATAGTCGCAGGTTCAAGAGATTAGAATGTAAACTTCTGTGAGGAGTGAATCGATTATGCTGCCTAGCACAGAAGGTAAATGTAAATACTCACGGAATTTTACTACAATATCAAAAAAGTACCTGTATGAAGCGTTGGCTCTCTCGCACTTTCTGTCACTGCTGCATTTGATAACTGAGTGAACCAGGTGCCTGGGAACTTCAGAGTGGTGCCACCTTTACCCCTATCTGACCTCTCTTGGAACTGTGGGGTGGAGACCTCTTCTGTAGGGTCCCTGGCCTGCTCTCCAACCCAGAGACTGTGTTGCATGACAGTCATGCCAGCTGCCCTTTTCAGAAATGGGGTGGGTTGATCTGAAGCCCAGACACTCCACGGAAGAGCACCCCCTTCTCCTCTCTCTCTGTGGGGCTGAAGGAATGGGTCAGGATTACTCTCCACTGGCAGATCACCTCAGCAAGACCAGCTTTATTGAGAATCACAGGGTCAAAGAGGCCAGGACAGCGGCTCCACCTGTATACAGACCCCAGAGCTGTAGCCCTCACCTTAGCCTCACTAGCTCCACACAAGTGTCGTTGGTCACAAGCGGGTGAGGAAGCAGACGACTGGCTTAGGAAAATGGAAGTATATCCCAAACCTTCTGCAGAACCAAAGGAACATCATCTCTGAACCAAATCATTACTCACCACGTGAGTAATCCCTTCCCTGTTCCTTCCAGGAGGGCATTGTAGCTGTGTGTATCATTGGATGACTAAATCTACTATTGGAGGCAAGGTATCTGGTTTAAAAATGGTGTAAAGAACCCTTTTGTCAAGCTCCAGTGAGTTGAGCACAGAGCGCCTTGCACACTACTGCGGGCCATGACAGAAAGCCCCTTGGGACCCCTGGACCTCCCAGGCCAATCTAGGGTGGGGACACCATGCATAGGAACCTCCTCCTCAAATCTGGAGTGAGGCCAGCTCATTGGGAGACACCAGAGGGCCCAGAAAACAGCCACTGACAGCCACTGCCTGCTGCTCCCTGGAGACTGTAGCGCATCAAAGGGCTTTCTTCATGTGTTCCTCTATCCCACACTGCAGGGATTGCATTCCTGAATATCTCAAAGTAACTCAAGCTCTTTACTTGCATTTCTTGCATATCCTGAGGGGGGATATTTGGAGCAAACTTGTTTAAAGTTTCCACTTTTTGGTCAGGCACAGTGGCTCGTGCCTGTAATCCCAGCACTTTGGGAGGCTGAGGCGGGTGGATCACTTGAGGCCAGGAGTTCAAGACCAGCCTGGCCAACATGGCGAAACCCCATCTCCACTAAAAATACAAAAATTAGCCAGGTGTGGTGGCGTGCGCCTGTAGTTCCAACTACTCGGGAGGCTGAGGCAGGAGAATTGCTTGAACCTGGGAGGTGGAGGTTGCAGTGAGCCGAGATCACGCCACTGCACTCCAGCCTGGGCAACAAGAGTTTCCACTTTTCTCTCCTCACCTCACTCACATACTCTACCTATACTTGAGCCTCTGGTTTTTTTGGGTTTTTTTTGCTCTTTCGTCTTCCTGGGTTTTTAAAAAAATATGGAACACTTTATGAATTTGCATATTATCCTTGCTCAGGGGCCATGTTAATCCCTGTATCATTCCAATTTTAATGTATGTGCTGCTGAAGTGAGTACTTGAGCCTCTGTTGCCTCCAACACCCTGAGAAACTTGCCCCAGCTGCAGCTCTTAGGAGTTTTTCGGCCACCTCCCTCCCCTCCTTGTTCTCCATCTCCAAAGTCCTAGGAGTGTCCGTCAAGGCGAGCCCTCTGTGGAGGGGAGAATGGGGGAAGAGGCTGCACAGGCCAAGCCAGAGAGGCAGGGGCTGGGGTTCCCCTTCACGCAGAGTTTTCTGGGCAGTGGTTGCTGGCAGTTGGACTACGGTGATGAGAAGCAGTTCTTAACGTGTGTCTGTAGACCTCAGAGTCCACTGTGGGCTTTCAAATCATCCCTTCAACCCGCTCACACCTCCCGTGGGGATTTCGACCTGCATTCATCTCTGAACACTAGGCGTGTGCCAAAGTCCACACTGACAAATGAGAACCAAAGTGAACAGTCAGGGTCTCGTCTCATCTCACCCAGGCTGAAAGGTGGCTCAGAAGTGGGTCAGACTGGCTCGACCAGGCACCCCAAAGGTGTAAGACTGAGAAAGAATTTTGAGTCACAAAAGGAAAGCAGCAGTGCCATCCTCAGGAGCCCCAAATGTCACAAACTGACAAATGACTTGGGCAATGTGATTGTGGTATGTGTTGCCATGGTTTTTTCAGATATTGCATGTTCTGAGAGCTTCATGGCAGCACCCATGTGGCTTAGAAACTGATTGTGGCACTCATTTGTACAGCCCTTGCTGGTAACACAATTTTTCTGCTGGGAAGTGCATCAGTGAAGGCTTGGGAGTAGACTTATTCTGAAGTCCTGAGATCTTATGGCCTCTTACTTCTGGTAACCATCATGGGGAAATCTGGACCCAGGCACTGCTAACTAAAAGCAGAATTGTTGATGCTACAAGAGAGTTGCAGTTGACCTTGAAGTTAGGAGTCAGATCCCAGGTCTATGTGACCTTGGAAAAGTCACTGTACCTCTCAGAGCTTCAGTTTTCTAACTTGTGAAATGGGGTCTGTGTGTGGCTATGGCCTCCTGTTAGCCTGTTCCTACTTCTTTCTTTCTCACCTTAGTTGTCATATCTGGTCCCTGGTACCCACTTCTTTACCAGTCCTTGATCCTGTCTTCAGCCTCAGAGGCATCCTGGACCCTGCGTATCCCTAGGCAGCCCGTTGATCCCAGTCACCTGCTCCTAGATGCCCAGAACAGGGTTTCTCAGCCTCAACACTGTTTATGCATGGGGCAGCATAATTCCTTGTTGTTGGGGGCCTGTCTTGTGTGCTGCTGGATGTTGAGCAGCATCCCTGGCCTCTAGCCACATGATGTAGTAGCACCCCCGACCAGCTGCGATAACCCAAACTGTCTCCATACACTGCCAGTGTCCCCTGCAGACTGCCACAATTGCCCTACTTGAGATCCACTGCCTTAGGCAGCTTAATTTCTGAGGCAGAGCTGGGATCCACAGTGATTTCACCACCTCTAATTTTTAGGTGTCTGCTTTGAAACTGTCCCGACAAATACCCAGAGAGGGAGCACAGCAACCTCAAACCCTCCCATGGCAAAGGATTTGGAACTTGGCAGAATTCGAGCTAGAGGGGTCATATTTTTGGAAATAATGAAGGGTTTAATGTTCTTTGCTTGCTTTTTGTTTGCGTTTACTCCAGGAATTTCTTCTGGGTGTGAGGTGGGTTTCATTTCTTCCCCCTTTGCTGCTATTCAGTGTTCTCTGGCCTCTTCTTTCTTCCCTCCCAGCTCCTCTTGTTATTTTCAAAGGGCTCGTCTCACCTAAAGATTTTGACTTCTTCTCTTCTTGTTATTCCCTCAGCTCAATAAAAGTCCCTCAGCGGGTTTATGAGTAATGCTTAAATCCTAGAAGAGAAAGTCCTTATGGAGAAGGCAGATGAGGGGCCCGTGGGGCACCTGTCGGGCGGCTCTGAAGACTCTAAGCATGGGTTGGGGGAGGGCAGTGGACCTCAGGGAAGCCTCAGGCCACAGGGCTGCGCACGGCTTCCAGAGACAAAACTGGGAAGCTCAGAGCGTCTTGCTGCGGAATTCAGTATATGTAGAAAGGCAGCTTGGAATATTCTACCAAAGGAAGAGGGCTTCTTGTCCTTTGGAATCTACTTAAAATGTTAGCACATTGGAACTATTCAAATGTACTCTCCATTTTACTTGAAAGTCAAGGGCATTTCCTGCTGCAGGGTGGAGTGTGTGTGTGTGAGTGTGTATGTGAATGTGAATGTGGGGAGTCTGCATGTGAGTCTGAGTTTTTGTGAGTGTGTGTGACTGTGTGAGGTGTATGTATGTGTGTATGACTGTATGTGTGTGACTGTGAGAGTGTTTGTGTGACTGTGTGTTGATTGTGTATGTGTGTGAGAGTGTCTGTGGCTGGGTATGAGAGTGTGTTTGCAGATGTGTGTGTGACTGTGTGTATCTGTGTGTGTGTCTGTGGTTGTGTATGAGTGTGTGTGTGTGAGAGTGTGTGTGTCGGGCTGTGTATGAGAGTGTGTGAGTGTGTTTGCGGACGTGTGTGAGTGTGTGTATATGTGTATGTGTGTAAGAGTGTGTGAATGTGTATGAGAGTGTGTGAGTGTGTGTTTGCAGACGTGTGTGTGTGCTGCAGCTTTTCTCATCCCTCTGCTGCCTGCATGATTCCCTTGACGCCCTGGCTTCCATCCCATCCTCCCATCCAGACTCTCCCCTTGCCCACGGAGAGCTTATGGCTGGATTTGTAGACAGAATTCTCACTCCAGAACTAGAGCTTGTCAGAGGTCAAAGGAGGGCATGAAGGCTTGGGAGTGGGAGGCAGGGAGGAGGATAGAGGCAGAATGGGGCCAGTGTACTGGTGAAGCCACATGGCCCCAGAACAGCTTGCTGCCCTGGAGAGTGCTCCAGACCACCCTGGGAACCTGCCTGGGGAATGGCTCAGATAGACCCTACAGGCAGCCCCGCCAGACCCCTTGGTTCTTAAAGGGAGGAAGATGCTGAGAGTCCCTTCTGAAAGGAAAGGATGGGGTTAAAGAAGAAACAGAGGATGAGGGCTGAGGAATCACTGAGCATGTAGGTGCTGGTGCTGTGGCGCATCAGGCAGGGGGTAGAGGAGAGGAGTAGCAGAAGTTCCTAGGTCCTTTACATTTCTGATCTTTGGGGGGAGACATTACTTCATATGAGTGAAATTGAATATGATACAAAATAGAATAGAACACATAATAAAAGATGTGGTTCCTGTAGGTGCTGTGGTCAGGGAAGCCTTCCTGGAGGTGGTGGGCTTGAGCTGGACCCATGCAGAAAAGGAGGAAGGCAGTCCAGTTGAGGATAACTGCAAGAGCAAAGGGGCAGGGTTGAGAATTTGCATGTGTCTTTGGGGGCTATAAGATCACATTTCTTTAGTGATACTCCCTTAAAATTACTAGTCAGAGAGAAAGTGTGATGAGTAACGCAATTGGGCCCTGAGCTTGGGAAATGCATGGTGTGCATGGTACAACAAAGCCTTACTATAAACTAGAAATGAACGAAAACATTTCAGCAAGATTTAAATGAGATTGCCAGCCTAGAGAGGGTCTCTATTGGCATGCCGTAGAGCTCTGCCATTGGCTATTTTTTGTAGAACTTATTAATGACTTGGATGAAGAAAAGGAAGACCTGTGTGTTAAGTTAGTGGATGGCTTAAAGCTGTGTGCTGTCACCATTCATGAGACGATGCAATTGAGATTCCAAAAGATTTTGCAATTTTGCTGGTCTGGAAGATGTCCAAATAAGGAATGAAATTCAGTGGAGATGGATGTAAAATCCTACCCTTAAGCCCCATAGCATCCATCATCATCCAAGGACGGACGGAGAAGCAGCACATGCAGATAAAGCTTGCATTTCTCTGCAGGCTCAGAGAGAATCCTCAGCGGCTTGGGCCCAGCACAGGAGAGGTCACTGCCACACATTTGCCCTTGGCATGGTCTCCAGAACCATGCATTGCATCCTGGGAGCAACATTTTCTGAGATATTCTGGTAAATTGGAGTGTGTGTTGGTGAGGGTCCCCAGAATGGCAAAGAAGAGCCTGATGCAAGGAACTCAGAGGACCTGAGATGCTGTATCCTAACATTTCAAGAACTGCGATATTGAAAAAAGCATTGGATCTACTAGATGTGGTTCTATTAAATGGAACCAAACCCAACAGGTACATTTGAAAGTGAGAGTGTTTGGATCAGTACAAAGAAGAGCTTTTTCTTTTTTTTTTTCTTTTCTCTCTTTCTCTTTCTCTCTCCTTCCTTCCTTCCTTCCTTCCTTCCTTCCTTCCTTCCTTCCTTTCTTTCTTTCTTTCTTTCTTTCTTTCTTTTTTTTTCTTTCTCTCTTTCTTCTTCCTCTTTTTGTTTTTTTGAGTTGGGATCTTTCTCTGTTACCCAGGCTGGAGTGCAGTGCTGTAATCATGGCTTATTGCAGCCTCGAAATCCTGGGCTCAAGCAATCCTCCTGGCAGAGCCTCTTGAGTACCTGAGACTATAGGTGTGCATCACCACACCTGGCTAGTTAAAACAAATTTTTTTAGAGATGGGGTCCCACTGTGTTGCCCAGGCTGGTCTCAAACTCCTGGCCTTAAGTGATCCTCCCACCTTGACCTCCCAAAGTGCTGAGATTACAGGCATGAGTCACCATGCCCAACAAAGAGGATTTGTCTAGTAGAGCAGCCCAGAAATGACAGTCTGTCCATTGAGGGCAGGAGTGCCCAGAACAAGTTGGATATGGATGGTTTCTACATTGTGTGGATTGGGCTAAGGGACCTCTCTGATACCCTGCAGTTCTACGCCTCTGTAAACCCTGATGGAGAGGAAACTGAACAGGTGAGTGCTGGAGCAAAGCCAAGGCAAGGGATGTTTTCATTCATTTGTTAGTGCAATCAACAAACATTTGTTATGTTCCAGGTACTGTTCTAGGTGCTGGGGATATAGCTGTGAACCCAATAGAGATCTTCGGAAAGCACATCAGCATTTGGGGGGACTAACTGCACAGGGGCATGGGGAACTTTTTGGAGTGATTGAAATGTTCCGTGTATTGATCAACACAGGTGTATACATTTGTCAAAACTCACTGGATCATACTTAAAATAGATACATTTTATTTTACGTAAGTTATACCTCAATAAATTGTTTCTCCCAGTGGGAGGGGGGAGACACTCATCAAATAGACAAATATCTGAATATCTGAGCAGTGGAGGGGACATGCGTAATGAGACAGCTTTCATGGGCAAGAGGTGAACAGCGCGGCACAGGAGGACGGAGGAAGGGAACGCTGCACCAGAAATGATTTTGCCCATTCTGTCTCCCCCAGGAATATGAGAGCCTGGAGCAAGAAAACACCATGCTGCGGAGAGAGATCGGGAAGCTGACAGAGGAGCTGAAGCACCTGACAGAGGCACTGAAGGAGCACGAGAAGATGTGCCCGCTGCTGCTCTGCCCTATGAACTTTGTGCCAGTGCCTCCCCGGCCGGACCCTGTGGCCGGCTGCTTGCCCCGATGAAGCCGGGGACACTCCTCTGCCCAGCAAGGAGCCTTGGTCATTTTCATACCTGGGAGGAAGGCTTTTCCTTCACAATTGTATACAGGGGGCACCTGTGGCCAGGCCTCCTCCTGGGAGCTCCAGGACCAGCCAGCTGTGTTCCCTGCAGACTGGGCTCAGCCCGACATCCAACAGGCGCCAAACTCACAGAGCCCTTGTGCAGATCCAGCATGGAGGCCACCCTCAGGAGTGACTTCTCATCCACCCTGGCAGCTAGTAGGTTCTGCTGTTATGCAGAGCCATTTCCTCTAGAATTTGGATAATAAAGATGCTTATTGTCTCTCCCTTCTCCAGTTCTGGGAATTTACAGGCACAATACACTTCCTTTTCCTGGAGAGGTCGTCTTCTGTCTTCTCTGGGTGTTCTGTGGCTCATGGGTCTTGCCTCCCTGCCTGGCCACTCTCCCACAGCCACATCCACAGCAGACAGGGGAGGTGGCTTTAGGGGGCTGTGGTGGAGCATAAGCCAATGGGACTTCCTTGCCACTTCTAGGCCTTCAGAAGTCTTTGACCCAGCTGGGTCACAAAGTTGCATGCTGGGTGTGACCCGTGTGTTTGTCATGCTCTGCACAGCCTTCCATCTTGGCCAACTCTCACACTCATGCTGGACTGGCGTGGGAGATTTTCTATTCCAGGTTGGTTTTCTCAACTGCACTGTCCACTCTGAGGCCACCTTCTTGTTCTATAAGTAGGTGTAGGATAGGGGAGAAACTTTGTATTAGTCTGAGTCACAATTGAGTGGAGAAATTTGTCTCCTTATTTAAACAAATATTCGGGTAGATGAGAAGAGGAGCAATTTCTTTTCAAAAAGCCCTGTCTGCCCGACTCTCGTCTTTTGGGAAAAACAGAACCAAGCCAGGAAGAAGCTGGCCCCAGCAAGGAAAACCAATTGGGAAGACACTCCCCATCCTCCAATTCTCTTTTTCCCTGGAAGAGAGGTGGTTCTGGAGGGTGGAGCCATTCCATCATAAAGGGAACAAGAAATGGGAACAGAAAGGAAAGTGCTTGGCTGTAAATGTAGATGGTTAAAGAAGTAAAAAAACAAGAAAGAAATAGAAGGCAGCCCCTCCCAGGGGTGAAGGACTTGCTGACTCTTGGCTACTCCTCTCAACACCCCCTTTCCTAGGGAGAGTTCCCCTTCCTACTGGAGGCCTGCCTGGTCTCTAACACTCACGGGCTGAAGGCTGCAAACTTGCCCTTGTCAGACGTGTTGGAAGGCTGCTGTTAGAGAACAGGACTCATACCTGCTGGGAGTTCAGGGGCAGAAAGCATGATGCAAGGTTTTAGAACAAGAGACATTAAAATCATCCATTCTGACCCCTCCACTTTGCAGAGAAGGGGCTCAGATGCAGCGAGGGGGAGAGACTTGCTCAAGGTCCCCTGTGGGTGAGCAGCAGAACCAGGCTAAGACCTCAGGTGGTCTCCCACCTGATCCTCTATGAATTGAATCAGGCTGATGTAACAAGGAGGTACTCTGGGTGCGGCTCAGGTAGTGTCTAAATGTGGCCTGTCCTTCCATCTGCACGGTTCAGATGAGCACCCTGTCTGTAATGGTAGGCTTAGAGCCAGGATCCCAGGGGTCTCTGCAGTGGTGAGTAGGAACATACAAAGTGTGTGCCTGGCACGTGCAGGAGTTTTACTGCTGCTGACTTTCAACTCCAGGAATTTGTGGCCCTGCAGGAGTCTCAGCCTGATCCTGCAGAACTTCCAAGTTCTCCCGGCTTGTGGACCTGGACTCTGGCTGACCCGACTTCCAAAATCCAGCTGTCCTGACTGTCCGCTGACCTGCTCCGACCCTTGCGGTTGTTGCTGTTCTACTGCCTGCTCCCCTACTCCACTGCTAACTCAGGGTGTCCAGGCCTGCTGGCCCCGTTGGCCTGCTTATCCTTAAGCCCTATTCAGCCTGACCTCAGGTGTGATCCCCTGGCTCCACATCATAATCCTCGTTAGTCCCCTAGCTTCCATTTGCTGTGCGCCCTCAAGGCCTTGCCATCCCCCAGCCCCTCTATTCTGGCCGGGAGGCTGGGGAGGAGAGGGTCCATGGGGGATGAGGCAAAGGACTATGTCCTGGAGGTGACGGTGTATCACTTCCCCACAGTTCAATGGCCAGAACTCGGTCACCTGGCCCCATCCAGCTACAAGGGAGGTCAGGAAATGAAATTTAGCCAAGGGCTCAGTGGGAGGAAGAATTGGGTTTGGTGAATATCTGTCAGGCTCTACCATAAGATCCAGCCTTTTCTCCCACCCCCTCACTGAAACTGACTCCTTGGAGTTTACCAGTAAGCTCTGGTCACTAAATCTAATGGTCACATCTCAAGTCTTATTTTCCTTTACTTCCCAACAGCCTATGAAAATGGCCTTTACCTTTGTTCTTTGCTCTACCTGCTTCTTCTCAGCCACCATCTGTCTCTATGCTGGTAACTTTCCCATCTGTACCCAGAGCCCAGTCCTCTCTCCAGCGGGCAGCCCTGTGGATCCATCCAGCTGCCTGTTAGGTGTCTCTCGGAGGATGTTTCCAGCACATTCCACTCAACGACTCAACGTGGCGCAAGATACACTCATGATCTCGTCATCTTCCCCTCAAACATGCTTCTCAATCTGTTTTTACCTATTTAATCAAGGGTCCATCACCCACCTGGCTAGAAACCTATTGATTTCTCTGTGTTCCCAAGCTAATCTACCCAGTCCTGTCCATTATGTCTCCTAAATATCTCCCAGATCCAGCTACTTTGCTGCAATTTGTCAATTGCTTTATCTGTGATTGAGAACTTTATTCAAATTAGCCACTGAATCAGGCGTCCTCCTCCCTAGCTGCTGTGTTGAGCTTGAGGTTGAGCTTGAATTTTGGGAGGATCAAGACTGCCTCCACTTTCAATGTGAAAGCAATATATTTGGAAGCAGGGAAGCAAAACTAAGGCAGCCCATGGTGCTGAGGGTCATGTCCCCTCTGAGATAACTGGAGATGGGACCAGAGTCCTGAAAAACAAATGTCCCCTGGGCTACTCCTACCTGAAAAAGTAAAAGTTCTGCAGAGTATAAGCCTGAGAAGGTGCTGTATTCTTCCAGGAGGGACTAGGGTAGTACACAAGGTGCTGAGGACTGGATTTGCGTGGTTCTATTCGTACTGCCGCTGGGCACCAGGACTTGTGCTGGGCATCTGCATCTCAAGTCTCAGAGCGGCTGCCTGCTGGGCTGAAGGAAGGAAGGCAGCCTGAGAAAGGCCCCCTCGGCATAGAAAGTGTCAGAGAGGGAGGAAGTCCTTCCTTCACACCCACACAGCCACACCACTTCCTGTCCGCAATCTCGCCCTGTATTGCACCAGCCAGCCTTGAACCTTGGGGTTTCCATTCAGTAATCAGGACCCAATTTTGACCCCAAATCTTGGTAAAGAATGATGACTCTTAACAGACAGGAAAGCGACAGTCCCAAAAGCCCCTCTCTTCTTTCCCACCAATGCTGGGGTCTCCGCCACCCGGGAGGTATTTACTGACACAGGGCTGTGGGCTTTGCCCCAGCAAGAACTAGAAAAAAAAAAAAAAAAGGGAGGCCCCAGCTCTCAGTGACACACCTTCCCTCCCTTGAGGTCCAGGAAGTCCTGGCAGGGTCATCCGTGCTGCATGAAGGAGGCCTGTAGAAGAGAGCCAGGGAGCAAAAAGAAAGCAAGAATGGAGAGGAGGAAGAGAAGGAAAGAGGGTTGGAAAAGGGAAGGAGGGAATGGGGATCCTTGTTCTCTGAATCTAAATCATCCCTTCTCCTGGGACGGTTTTGCTGAATCCACAGGAGGGTGTGCTGGGGGAAGTTCCCTCACACCCCCATAATGCTGCATAATTTGAGGTTTGGGGGTGTGGCCAACCAAGGCCCAAATCTCGAAACTGTTGTATGCTTGGAGTCAAGGGAACTTTTCTGGAGTGCCCATTTGGAAATGGACCACCTTGATGAAAGCGTCCCACCCTATTTTTGTGAGACAAAGGAGATAGGTGTGGTCAACACCACCACCACGGACATCATCACCATTAGCGTGACCCACACCAAAAGTTTGTATTTAGCAGTGGTAGTGCTCTTGGCGTGGTATGCTTGAAGGGCTTGAACCCTAAGTCCAAGGCTGTGTTCAAGACAAACTGCCCCTTGAAACAGCTCACCTGTTCTCTTGGCTGTTCTAGCATCACCTTTTTCTGGTATGATATTCTTGAGAAGACCAGAAATATCATCACAGATCAGAACGAAGGCTACTAGCACAGAATTCTAACCACAGCCCTGAGGGAAAGTGCAAGGGAGAGTCCATTGTTTGCATTCTACCACACCATCCTGAAAGGCCAGAGATGGGCTCTGGAACTTCCCTGATTTCCCTTAATAACCTGCTACTTATCTATTCATTTCTTAGTCAAGACTCATCTGGAACTGGGTTAAGTTTTCGGTTGCCTTGTGTAGGATATAAGCTTCTGCTGTGCTCTGAATTGGCCCCTGTGTTGTTTGAACTTGGGGGTGGCAGGTTCTTGGACAATGTGTAATCATTACTGTTGCCCAGAAGCCTGAGAGAAAGGACCATTTTCCAAGCATCCTCAGCTTTCACAGAGCTTCCTTAGGCTTTCCTTCAGGCTAATGGCAAGACCAAAAAGTACCTTCCAGAATGTCACAAACCCAGAGAAGGCTCAATTCACCAGGCAGTACTTTCTGAAATTGAGAAAGCAAGAAAGTTTGAGAAACACCAGTGGCGGACAACAACCTGAGGCTGAGAGTGGAAAGAATAAATGAAAGTACCTCCCAGAAGTTCTTTAATTGTTACAGCTAATTTGCAAATTAGCTGTAACCATTTGGAATATCGAATCTTTATTAGTAATAAATTAATTATGCTAATCATAAATCATATTAATTATAAATATTTAAATATTAATCATTTATGCACATTATAAACAATATTACTATCAATAAACTAATAATTTTTATAAAAATAAATACTAATAATATAAAAATGATTAAAATACTGATTAGTTATTAATTTACAAATTATTGTTCAAACAATGAAAGCTTAAGTCCCCATTGTGTACATCGTGGTGAAACAAGACACACAAGGGAAAGACACATCCCTCACCCACATACACCTTAAAGGGTCCCCTTATCATACAACTTCTGAAATCTCACCTCCAGACCTGTCTTGTTTTGGTCAGAGGAAATCTAATGCTTTCCCCCATCTGGTCTGAACAGGGAACATACCTACTAAGATTGTAAGCAACAGGTCAGAGAGTGTTTTATTCATTCCTATATGCCTGCTTGCTTAGCACCATGCCTAGCACATGGTAAGCACTAAAAATAAAAAAAATAAAAAAAAAAAAAATCTGTGTGACTGACTGACTGAATGGGTACTCCCTCCCTAGTTGTCTTCATCCCAGTTAAGCCTTCACCCCTACTCCAACCCCTACAAAATCACTTTCATATTTGTGATATGAATTTCTCATTGTTGTTTCCCCATTTAAGAGCATGGACATAACCTACTTTCTTTGCTCCTATAATTCATCATCTAGGTCAGTTTGCCTGTTGTAAATGTGGAGTTCCCATAAATCAGCAAAGACGTTGCTTAAGAAAGGCCTTGTAATAACAGTGATGAAAGTGACAATAGGTTGATGATGATAATGGAGATGTGAGACAGAAATAGACCCAGGACACAAATCTCTTCAGTTGTTAACTTTAATTTCATTTAAATGCTGTAAATATAGTTATCACATTTCTATCTGTTCAACATCATTACCGTGTAAGTCCTTAATATTTGCTTAGGATTACTTCATTTATCATGTGTGCACAGAGGAGTTGGGTACACAAATCACCCGTGGTCCTGGCCAGAGGAGACAAAAAGCAAGAGAATTTGACAGGCTGGCCACGTAGGGAAAATATGCAAGAGGAAACTATGCATTGTCTAGGGGACACCCCTCAGGTTATCTGATAAGAGTCTTGCAGTGTCTTTGAGCTTTGACAACTCTGTCAATTGTAGCTGATTCAAAACAATGCAAAGTCATTATCTGTAGACATGCAAATTATGTCCTGCCCATAGATGATCAATTTATTTTCCTCCTCCCTCTCCCTTGGAAAGACCAGTTTGCCTCCATTTGCACATTCATATTGATATTCCAAATCCGGAAACATGCCTGTTTTTCAGATTATCTTTTGAACTGGTTACAACCACTTGGCTCCCTCATTGATTAGTGATTTCCAATAAATAAAAGCCTTAACACTTGCATATTTCATGTATAAATAAGAACATGATTTTGCCTTTTTAAAAAATATATTTAAACAGTGTCAAATGAAGCTAGTGTTTTTGGAAGATGTTTATTTACCCCCAAGTGCATAGAGACACTGAGAAAGTCAGGGCATGATGTATTGACTGTGTAATTTCCAAGGAGCAGAGAGTCCCCGAGCCACCTCACCTGTTCTGCTGTCCTGGGCTGCCTTGTCCTGAATTAGGCCCTCATAGCTGCTATTCCTCCCCGTCATTTCTCTCCAACTCCTAAGCACCTTTAGGGCACAAGCTAGACACCGCTTCCTCAGAAGACTTCTGTGATCTCTGACAAATTTGATGAGAGGCTTTTCCCATTTGCTTGCCTTGACTCTGAATCACAGCATGCATCCCGTTATGTTGGTTGGGTTTGTTTGTTTGTTTGTTTTGTTTTTGTTTTGTTTTTTTTGGGGGTTTGTTTTGAGACAGTCTCTCTCTGTCACCAGGCTGGAGTGCTGTGGCATGATCTTGGCTCACTGCAACCTCCGCCTCCTGGGTTCAAGTGATTCTCCTGCCTCAGCCTCCCATTACAGGTGCGTGCCACCATGCCCAGCTAATTTTTGTATTTTTAGTAGAGATGGGATTTCACTATGTTGGTCAGGCTGGCCTTGAACTTCTGACCTCAGGTGATCCACTTGCCTCAGCCTCCCAAAGTGCTGGGATTACAGGCGTGAGCCACCGCACCTGGCCATATTGTTGTTGTTTATTTAAGTAAATGAGTAAACAAATGACTGTGTTCTGATGTGAAAGATGCCACAGCATCTTGTATCCACCTCTTCCAGTGTCTGGTGTCTGACTTCAAGGAGAAAAACGCCTTGGGCCTCAGTGAAATCTTTGTGGTAGCGTTTCCCTTTCCTCTTCCTCAGTGGACGCATCACCTTCTTTCTTTACTATGTATTTCCACGTGCTTGGGAACCCTTGCTAACCACCTGTTCCACCTTTTCTTTTTCTTATTTTTCTCTTTGTCTTTTTTGTTTCCCTCCTTTATCCTCTTTAAATAAACTGCAGAACACATATTTGAACGTGTATTTGTGACCAAACACTTTGAAAGCAGCAAGATCCCAGTCTCTGTCTGTCCTCCCAGAGGACAGGGACACTTCATAGGCACAGTAAGGGAACGAGCAACTCCCTGAGCTTGACCTGTGAGTAACTTTGAAGCCAGTGTGAACAGGCCCTTCCCACCTCCAAAAGAAAACAGTAGCATGTGCTCCTATGAGGCATCTGACCCTGTAGAAACTAGGAAGGTAGAAAACTGTAGAAAACTAAGAGGCCCTCTGGGACCCAGAGCTGACTGAGCAAATCTGTGCACTTACCTGGACCAATTCTCTACATTAATAAGGAGAAAGATGACACATGTTGGAAATATTGGGACCCCCTTTCAAACCCGGATTCCAGAAAGGCTCTGCGGTACAGCCCCATTTCACCCCAGGGCTGTGCAAATGTGGTTGGTGGTCACTGAAGCTTCTTTGCCTCCAGCTTATTGGGTGAGAAAATATGGAATCCTGTGTCTTTAAGAACTGAAACCATCTAGAAACAGGATTTGATACCCTGTAGGAGACAGGAGAACTTCCCTTTTGCTGTTCAAGTTTCATCTTCAGTTATCAGGAACTGAGCAGGGGGCACCAGGACTTGGAGCTACAGCAACACGGGTCTGTGAAACTGCTGCTCTCTGGAGATGAATACTCTTCTTTCTTTTTGAATATACCTCACCACCGTGAAAAGTACGTTTAAGAAAAGTCCCTTGTTGACTCTGCATGTCCCATGGGTTTGCTGGAAAAGAGGAGCATCAGCTCTAGTCCCAGATGCTGGCCAGTCCTAGGCCTCCCCGGCACTCCCCTCGCCCAGCACTACTCCTCTCTGCCTGGGGTCGAGCCACAGTCTGTGCTTGGTGGGAGGGCCAGCTGACTTACAGCAGGGTCAGAGAACTCTCTGTGGAAGGCCACAAAGTTCACTCAACTGAATGGTCCAGCCTACTCATTTTGCAGCCAAAGCAGTCGAGGCCTAAGATGCCAGCAGCATGCCTCCCAGGACGCTCAGTGTGCGTTGGGGCAGGGATCCAAGAGTCCTGACTTCTGTGCTATGGTTTTTCTGTCATTCCTCCGAGTTACCCATGCCCCTGCTTTTACACAGGCTGTGTTCCAGTGTGGCTGTGTTGGTATCTTGCTTGCCCCTGACCCCACACACCTGGTCCCTTCCCTACCGTTCTTTGCTCATGCTCCCCTGATTGCTGGCTTCCAATCGGCATTAGCCAGTGGGAGGCACCAGTTGGAGACTGAGGGGTGAGGAGGGTGGTGATAGAGGATATTTTTTGTCTGCGCCCTCTTGATTCAGAGGCTTGGCCTGGCAGTGGCTGCATTCTTCCAGGGGCCCAGCTCCTCCTCCATGGCTGTAATCTCCACTGGGCCTCAGTAATACCATCCTCTCCCTCTGCCCCTTCCAGCCTCCACGTGGTAATAGCTTCCACTATGGAGAGCTCCTGTGTGCCTCCACATCCCTGGTCGGCTCCCTAACCTGGCTCTCATCCCTGGAAATATCCCTTTATTAAAATCTCGTCAGTGGAACAATGTGAGTAGAATCCTGGAACTGGACTCCACTGGTCAAATTTGTTCCGGCATTCTAAACCAAGGGACAATTGTCTAGAGGCTAACAAAGTCCATGCTAAACAACGAAACCATGGAGAAAATTGCTTTATAGTAGCTCAGAGCCCTAAGATTCAGCAGCTGTCCAGCTAATGCTCAGAGCACAACTTCCTCAGCAGCAGGGTCTGCCCCACGGAGGCAAAACCTAAAGGGCAGCTGGGGTCAGCCTGTCTCCAGCTCTCTGCACTGCTGGACCCACTTGGGAGGACTGAGTTTCTGAGCTCTCTGGAGGGCATATAGAGATCATTTTTCTCTCAACCTCTCTCTCATCCCCACTGCCATGTATAAAACTAATTTGCTTTCCATTTCCCAAATCCTGGAATATGAAATCATTATCCACCCAGCTTCCCAAGCTGGAAACCAGAGTTAATTGGATTTTTTTCTTCCACCAAGTCCAGTTGGTGTTCATGTCCATCCTGTCTTCCATCTGTTCTCCCGTCTCTGTCCCCACAGGCACCACCTTGTTTGAACCCGTAGTTCTCAACCAGGATCAAGCAGGGAGTTTTTTTCAAAAGTCAGTTGCTTACCTGAGCACCCAGATGCTGGCGCTGTTCAGTCACCTCTTTTGGGGAGCCTCCCTCGAGTCACCTAATCAGAGCTATTCTTTCTTCCTCTGTGCCATTGTAGAACCTCATGTGTGTCTCTGTCACAATCTTGGTCTTATTTTTTTTCTATTTTAGATTCATTGTATTATTTTTAAAATTCTATGTAAATTTATATGTCAGAATCAGCTCGTCAATGTCTAAAAACTCCAGCTGTTTTCACATAGGATTGTACTGAATCTATAGATCAATGTGGAGGAAACTGACATCCTGCTAATAGTGAGTCTTCACTATTCATAGATGGTAATACATCTATTCATGTATTTAAATATTCTTTAATTTTTCTGAGTGATTTTTTTTTTTTTTTTTTTTTTTTGAGACAAGGTCTTGCTCCACCACCCAGGCTGGGTGGAGTGCAGTGGCATGATCTCCTAGGCTTAAGCGATTCTGTCGCCTCAGCCACCTGAGTAGCTAGGACTTCAGGCGTGCACCACCATGCCTGGCTAATTTTTGTATTTTTTATAGAGATGGGGTTTCGCCTTGTTCAAGACCCGGGCTGGTCTCGAACTTCTGGGCTCAAGCCATCCGCCCACCTTGGCCTCCCAAAGTGCTGTGATTACCGACAGGAGCCACCATGCCCAGCCTCAGTTATGTTGTATAATCTTCAGTGTAGAAGTCTTACAAATCACTCATTAAATGTATGCCTAAATATTTCATGCTTTCCAAGGCTATTGTAAATGGGATTTATAAAATTTTAATTCTTCAGTTCTTTGTTGCTAGTATATTCATTTTTATATATCACCCTGGTATCCTTTAACCTTGCTCAATTCACTTATTAATTCTAGAAGGGTTGGGATTTTTTTTTTTTTAGATTCCATAGGATTGTCCACGTAGACAATCATGTTACCTGTAATTAGAGAAAGTTTTACTTTTTCTTTCCAACCTTTTATGCCTTTTATTTCTTTTTCTTGCCTTAGACATTGCTAGGGGCTCCAGCACAATATTTCATAGATATGTTCAGAGCAGTTATCCTTTCATTGTTCCCTGTCTTAGGGGAAATCATTCAGTCTTTCACAATTATGTTGTTAGCTGTAGTTTTTTTCAGATTCGCCCTTTGTCAAGTTGAAGAAGTTCCTGTCTATTCTTAGTTTGCTGAGAATTTTTATCATAAAGGAATATTAGTTTTGTCAAATGCTTCTTCTGCATCAATTGAGATGGTTATTTGATTTTCTCTTTTATTCTGTGGAGAATTATTAATACTTGATTGATTTTTTTTTTTTTTTTTTTTGAGATGAAGTCTCGCTATGTTGCCTGGGCTGGAATACAGTGGCAGTTCACAGGTGTGATCAGAGTGCACTACAGCCTCACATTCCTGGGCTCAAGTGATCCTCCTGCCTCAGCCTTTCAAGTAGCTGGGACTATAGACATTGATTTTTTAATGCTGAGTCAGCCTTTCATTTGGTCATGCATATTCATTTTTTATATTGAGGATTCAATTTGCCAATATTTTGCTGAGAATTTTTGCATCTATGTTCATGAGGGATATTGGTCTGTATTCCCCTCCCCTCCCCTCCCCTCCCCTCCCCTTCCCTTCCCTTCCTTCTTTCGACAGAGTCTTGCTCTGACGCCCAGGCTGGAGTGCAGTGGTGCGATCTCGGCTCATGGCAGCCTCTGCCTCCTGGGTTCCAGCAATTCTCCTGCCTCAGCCTCATGGGTAGCTGGGATTACAGGTGCACGTCACCACGCCTGGCTAATTTTTGTATTTTTAGTAGAGAAGGGGTTTCGCCATGTTGGCCAGGCTGGTCTCGAACTCCTGACCTCAGGTGATCCACCCACCTCAGCCTCCCAAAGTGCTGGGATTACAGGTGTGAGCCACTGCACCCAGCCTGTAATGTTTTTCTTAAACTGTTTTTGTCAGATCTTAGTATAAAGTTTTATTTTTTAACATTACAATTTAATTTTTGATCAAAAAATGCATAATTTAAAAATGCAATAGTGCTAGAAGGCTTATGGAACAATTAGAATTACTTTTAGCAACAAACAGCAGAAAAACTCAAAATATTTGTGCTTAAACAAGATATATATATATTTTCTTATAAAAGCAGACTAAGAGGAAGGTAGCCAAGCTGGGAGCAGCTCCACTGTGTCATTAAAGGCCCAGGCTCATTTTCTTTTCTGTTCATCCTTAAGGTCACTTCATACTCCAAGATGATTGCCAGAGCTCCATCCATCAGGTCCACATTCCAGGCCAACAGCAAGAGAAAGGAGAAGAAAAAGAAAAGGGTGTCTGCTCCTCACTTTTACAGAAGCTTTTCCAGAAGTCTCACATGACTTTTCTATGTATGCTTCATTGGGCGTCATTTTGTCATATGGCTACGTCTAGCTGCAAGGAAGGCTGGGAAGCGTAATCTTTCAGCTGGGGATATTGCCCAGGATGCAGTTACTAAGGAAGAAGGAGAGGATGGATGTGGTATTATGCTGAGGAAAAGGAGCCAGGACACAAAAAGGGTACATAGTATATGATTCTAATTCATAGAGACAGAAAACAAGATATAACTTATAGTGACAGAAAACTCATCATTGATTGCACACCAGGATGGAATGAGAAAGTACAAGGAAACTTTTTGGGATAATGGAAATGTTCTGTGTTTTGATTGTGGTGATGGTTATATGAGTATATAAATTTGTCAAAATTCCTCCAATAGTATACTTAAAATGGATGCATTTTTGCATATAAACTATATACATCAATAAAGTTGGTTTCTGTAACTATGGAAAATCCCACTGCTGTAACATAACTACTCTTAAATTTTGTTCATTTTTCTTTGAGTCTTTTTTTATTTGCTCATTTTTACATAGATGACATTGGAATGCACGTACTGACTACGGATGTTCGCTTTTCTCACTTTACATCATAAAAATTTTTCATGCTGCTATATTAATCTTCATAACCATAATTTTTAAATGACTATATAATCCTTTGGGAATTTAAAATGTAATATATACAGACAGTTAAAAAAAAGTCAAAAGTACCAAATAATACACAGTGAAAGTAATTCTTCTCCCAGCTCCGGCCTTTAAGACCCTTTACTTGGTGGCTCACGCCTGTAAGCCCAGAACTTTGGGAGGCTGAGGTGGGTGGATCGCTTGAGCCTGGGAGTTCAAGACCAGCCTGGCCAACATGGTGAAACCTCTTCTCTACAAAAAAATACAAAAACTAGCTGGGCGAGGTGGCGTGTACGTGTAATCCCAGTACCTAGGAGGCTGAGGTGGAAGGATTGCTTGAGCCAGGAAGTGGAAGGATTGCTTGAGCCAGGAAGTCGAAGCTGCAGTGATCCGTGTTCATGCCCCTGCACTCCACCCTGGGTAACAGAGTGAGATCCTGTCTCAAAAAAAAAAAAAGACCCTTTGTTTAGAAGCAGTGGCTATTCCAGGTTCTAAGATATACAACCAGCAATATTCTGTGCACATAAAGGCTATACATGAAGATCGTTTCCTCTTCTTTCAGGCACAAATGAGGTAATACTAGATACAGTTGGCCCTCTGTATCTGAGAATTCCACATCTGTGGATTCAACCAACTGTGAATTGATAATATTTTTAAAACCCAATATAATAATAAATAATACAAATAAAAAACAACATAGTATAACAACCACTACATAGCATTTACACTGTATTGGGTATTATAAGTAATCTAGAGATGATTTAAAGTATACGGAGGATGTGCATAGGTTATATACAAATAGTATATACCATTTTATATAAGGGACTGGAGCACTTTCAGATTTTGGTATTTTTGCGTTGTTCCTGAACCAATCTCATGTGGATAGGGAGGGATGACAGTATTTGCTTTCTCATGTAATACATCCTGGACACTGTCTCATGTTCACACATTGAGACGGGCCCTATACTTTTTAACTACTGCCTAATACTCTATGGCATGGATGTTCTATAATTTATTGAACCAATAATTGGTAAACACTTAGGGTTTTCCCAGTTCTTTTTCTATTATACATGCCACAAGATGTAATGTTGAAGTTTTGAATCAGCTACCAAGTTACAATAGATGCTACTTTCTAAAGGAAGTGCTAGGCTGTATACAAAATTTACTACAAAAGAAATTTAAGACCGGTTACCTGACTGGTGAAACCTCTCAGTTACACTGAAGATATAAAAGAGTGGAGACAGGAGAAGATTGCAAAAGGATTTGTGAGGGCTTCCTCCTTTCCCTGAAGTCAAGAAAGGGGAATCCAACAGGTAGCTCAAGAAATGTCCTTGTTGCTCCTCCTGATCTGGAGGCCAGCTGCCGAGGTCATGGTGTGTGAACCCACCCACTTGATCTGTTTTTGAGGCCAAACCCCAACAAGGTCTAGTACCAGCTGTCCTCAGAACACTACCACTTGCTCAGAGAGAACCAGCCCTTCTAGCATCATTGGGAGCAAAGCAAAAACTCTCAAAGTCAGGCCATTGCCCATGAGGACGATATCCAACAGGTGCTTCTTGAACTTCAATGTGCATTGAAAGCACCCGGAGATCTTGCTAAATTGCAGCTCCTGGACCAGGAGAATCAGGAACTGAAGATTCTGCATTTCAATCAAGCTTCCAGGTGATGCCAATGCTGCTGGTCTACAGACCAAACTTGGAATGTAGAGGACTTACAAATGCACCCCAAATAATACATTCCAAAGCCAAAGTCACTTTATAAAAACATGCTTTTGAGTTATCTCATCCATTCAGAATAATTGAGGTAGGGAAGATATTCTGAAAATTTGAAGAAGTAAATTATTTAAAAATTGTAAAACACAAGTGCCTTTTTAATTTTTTTTGAAGGCTATGTATTTTCATTGCATGGAGTGAGAGAGGTTGACAAGAAGGGGGTTCTGTGAATCTACCTCAATAAAGAGAAAAGCATTATTTGAAATTTCTAGGTCTGTTTTTTTACTAAACTCAAGACCCTTGAAACAACTTGAAAATGCCTAATTCTCTCCCATAGGCTAAAGTGCTACAGCTGATTTTTCATGCTAATAACAGCCATTTTTAGGGTTTTTTTTTTTTAAAAAAACTCTCCTTTATTGTGTTGTCATGTATACATTGAATAAATGAGCAAATAGTTGAGTTCCTTTGCTTATAAATTAGTTCCCTCATAAATGGCACAAAAGTAAGCTTTGGTTCCATCACTAAGTTGTTACAAAGTCCGTGCACTGTCCAGATGAATGACACTTTTCTAAGACCTGAGCCAGCCTGGCACCAGTTTCCTTCCCATGCCCCACATGCCCAAGAATTAGCCAGGGCTGGGGGAGTATGTTCTCCTGAACAAGGCTGAGCAATCATTTTCGCTGCCCCTGCAAAGACAGCTGGTAAGAGCCTGCTTATTATCACCTCCCCCTGCCTGTGCGGGGGTGCGGGTGGGTGAGGAGGGTTGGCAGGGAAGTGAAGAGGCTGCTTCTGGAGCCTGCTAGGTAAATTACTGTGTGGTTTCTCCCTGAGTCATCAGGGCAGGGATGAGGCTGGAGGAGCGGGCTTTTCCTACCAGTATTTGTGTTTTCTTTAGGTGTGAGAGGACACAAATGGCTCTGGCAACCAGGCCCACAGCTGCTGCCTCATTTGCATGACGATTTACACAGCTGAGGCTTGGACGCTCAAGGGTAGGCATTTTTCTAAGGTGTTTAGGCAGACTCATCCTTTATGCATATATATGCAAGTAAGGAGTTGTCGGGGGTGAAGAAGGATCGGGGAACTCTGTTTTTGGCTGTTTCCTCATTTCTGCATTTCCACCAGCGGTGCCAGCTGCTGATGTCATCCTAGCTGTGAAGTTGCAGCATCGAACCAGAGCCTACCTTACGAAGAGCTTTCTGTGGGGCTCTTGGAGTTAGAGAGGAAGGACGTGAAGAGAACTAGTGAGCACAGCCTTGGCTTTTGAGGAACTGACAGGCAGGAGCAGAAGCAAATACAGATCCTGAGAACCCTCATGAAGCAGCTTCTGTGCAAATGGGTGTAGAGGGCACAAGGGTGGTGACCACGTAGAAAACTTGGGTGCTATGGCCTGGGGAAAAGCAGAGATGAATTCACTGTGGCCTCTAGGTCTCAATTTCCTCCTGGTACAGTGAGACTAATAATACCTACCTTGCTCAGTTGCTTTGAGGATTAAATAAGATCATGAATGTAAAATGCCTAGAACAGTGTCTGGCTCTAAGTGGTATCTGTCATAACATCAATTATTATTGATAAGATGAAACCATGGAGCAACCAAGATCCTGTCTTGCATATCCTACTTCTTTGCTGCCTTTTCCTTTGTGAGAAAAGCCTGCCTTGAGCTCCCTTACTCCTTCCAACCTTGGGTTCTCTTTGGGATCTGCAATATCAACAAATGGCTGGACAGACTGCAAGGTGCCATCTGTGGCCCCCAAACAGGACAGGCCAAGGTGTGACTGAGTAGCTCACTTGAGGGTAAAACCTGGGACTTCAGCCTCAGGGACAGCATAACGTCCCACTCTGCAACCAGCAGGTTGTAATGAGTTGGGAAATTGGGGCTCCACGGTAGAGTAGAAAGAGCGCAGAACCAAACTGCTTTCAAATCTCGGCTCTGTCACCAGATGTATGACTTTGAGCAAGTTGTTTAACCTCTTTGTGCCTCGGTTTCTTGATCTGTTAAATGGGGATGATAATATTACCCACCTCATAGGGATGTTGTGTGAATCAAAAGTGTTAACACATACAGTTGTCTCTCAGTATCTTCCGGGGATTGGTTTCTTCGGGTAAAGAGAACCCAAATACTGGCAGGAAAACCTCGCTCCTCCAACCTCATCCCTGCGCTGATGACTCAGGGAGAAACCACACAGTAATTTACCTAGCAGTCTTCATGGACATCAAAATCCAAAGACGCTCAAGTCCCTGACATAAAATGGCTTAGTATTTACATTGACTTATGCACATCCTCCTGTATACTTTAAATCAACTCCGGATTACTTATAATTCCTAATACAATGTAAATGCTATGTAAATAGTTGTTATACTTTATTGTTTAGGGAATAATGACAAGAAAAAAATGTAGATATTCAGTACAGATGTTTGGTTTTTTAAAAATATTTTCTATCCACTGTTGGTTGAACCCACAGACATGGAGGACTGAATGTATGAAGTACTTGGAATTGTACCTGGCCCAGAGTAAACCCAAGACAAATGATCAAATTTGGCTTTTGATCATTTTTGATTGGGGGGTGACTAGGGTGTGAAGGGTGTGTGGCCAGAGGACTGAGGACAGCCGGGTGGGCAGGCAGAGACCTCCACTTGCCATGGTTTATGCGTCTTTAAGGAAGGAAAGGACAAAGATGGTGGCTGGGATGGAGAACGACGCGCTTGTGCAAAGTCAAACAAACCTCCCAAGGACTCTCACTAATATCCTAGGAGCTTCCACAGGATCTCAGGGCTCTGCCCAGGCCACCATCGCCTCATCCTGCAGAGGGAGGATGGCTTGCGTCTGCATGACCCTTCTGTGAACCAGGCCTGCCAGCTGCAGCCTGTGCCGCCCAGCCCTGCTGGCCTGCTCCTCCTCGGGTACATTGGTGCATGAACCTTGCCCTGGGGATGTCTGACGTCTCTATCATTATTTTTCCTTCTTTCCATTTCTGCTTTGCTTAACAAAACTTGCTGAATGATATGTATTAATATTTGATAAGCCATCTTAGGTTATTCCTGGAATAGGCAGAGAATAAAGAAATAAACCACCTAGTTCCTAGAGATTTTAACTTTCTTAAAGTTTTTATAGCAGTGGTTTTCAAATTCATTTTTTTCAGAGGATCCCCCTTTTAAAAAATGAAATCTTTTCTAGAAACCCTACCATATGTAAACAGCCTGATCAGGTTAAAGCAGGGAAAAGGACCTCAGCACCCACTTGCTGCTTACCCCCCGGCCACTCCCTGCCCGCCTTGCCTACCCCCTTGTCCCCCAAGGTGTCTTTACCAAGTCCTGTCTCTGAGGGGCACTGTTTGTAAACCATGAGTCCTTTCCATGGAAATCACACTGCAATGTTTGGTATGTCATTTTGGTGCAAAAATAAGGAAGTGAGATGGTTTCCTATGACCTTTTGGACAATTTCCTAATTATTGCTGCTAAACAGCAATATCTATACCTGCTACATCTATGTCTGCTATATAGACATAAACTGCTAAAGAATGAATATTAGTTAACCTCTAACAGGAAATAACAAAATGAACAAAAACAAAAGTCCTGTTTACCTTTCTATTACAGAAGATAATCATTTGTGAGTTTAAGTAACAATTGAGCTTTAATTATCACTGACAGAATGAAAACAAATAACAGCTAGATGCAGATCTTCAAAGTGAAATACAAACAAAATACAATTCAAAAGTAGTTTAGAAACCGAGTTTTAACTAATAATTAACACAACCTCTACATCAGCTACCCCCAGTCTCCCCCCATACAGGGAATTCTCCATTCCTCAAATTGTCTCTACTTTCCCATCCTTTCATGTTTAACCCTCTTCTCAAATCCCAGCTCCTTCGTGAAGCCTCGTGTGATCTACCTAGTCAAAGCCCAGTGGCACTTTATTAAATACAGTCTTCTCTATCTTAGGGTGTGGGCTTAGTCCCCTCAGTGAGGGGGCTGACGTGGCATCTGGGCCACTTTCACACAGTGGTCAGCCCCGCCGAGCACAGTGGACACCCAACCACTGCTCCTTCCATTCTCTCTCTCATTCTCCCTGGTACTCAAGATGGTGCTGCTTCTGAAAGGGTTAAACTTTATATGACTGTGTTGGTAGAAAGACAAATACATTAAATTCTCTTTCAACATCAAGTTCATTTTTTCTGATTTTAAAAGAAATTAAAATATTTACATAGGCCCCTAAAAGCAAGATAGGCCCTTGGTGATGCTACTGTGCACGTATATAAAGCTGCCACTTTACTAGCTATGTGGACTTGGGCAATTTACTTAACCACTCTAGGCTTTAGTTTTCTCATTTGTAAAATGGGGATAATGATAGCACCCAATTCGCAGAATTAAATGTCAGCTATGACTTGCCTGCATTGCGAAGTTAAAAATAGGGAAACACAAAGGATAATATCTTCTTGATTTCTTTTTATGCTCTGATCCAATATCAAATCTAGCTTTTCAACTTATTTTTGGCAAACATAAACTTCCTATTTCAAAGGAAAAGCACTAGAAAGAACAAATGAAACCAAACCAAAAGCTCTTCCGAGACATCCAAGGACTCTTGCCAAACAGCAACTTGATGAGTTCACAGTAAATGAATCAGAGACATATGGTTTAGATTCCCCACTCAAAGTCCTCAGGGGGAAACAGGAAGGCCGAGGACTCCAGAGAGCAGCTGGCCGTGTCAGCCCCACTCTGCCAGCTGAGCAAGAGATTACGATGCCCTGGAGCCCCTCAGGCATCTCCCGGATGATCCTTTCCCCTGGGCTCAACTCACGTTTCTCATTTGACTCTGTCTTCCCCCAGAAGGAAGATGTCACCCAGGAACCCTAACTGGAAACCGGACAGTTACCAGGGCACCCAAAACCCAATATTTGGTTATTACTTCATCCTTGACCTTCATTCCATTCATTCCCAGCTGCAGACAGTAGGATTTCTAAGGAAGAGTTAAGAGGGTAGAGGTGGTGGACTGTCTCTCTGTGATTGTTGTTTTCCAGGAACTCAGCTTGTTGCCAGGGAGATGTCACACACTAGAATGTTCCCACTGACCAGCAAGGGAACTCTGGAATGACTCATGTGAGGACCTGCCCCAGGAAAGGGAGGGTTATGGCCTAAAACCACACCACCCCCCTCATTGTATCAAACTCCATCCTTTTCAATGACAACTTCAGCCCCTCCCCTTCCCCCACCAGGAAGCCTTCCTAGATGAACCAGAAGCACTGTCTACCCCAAGCCACCCTCACACCTCCAACACTTCATTTGCATATGTGGTTAGCTTTTTAATGATATCAGAGCAATCTGTGAACAGCTTCAGCAGGGGGCCCTCTGGCAGAATTGAATAAATTGGACGGTTAAAGACCTGATTGAGGCCAGGTTTGTTGGCTCACTCCTGCAATCCCAGCGCTTTGGGAGGCCTAGGAGGGAGGATTGATTGAGCACAGGAGTTTGAGATCAGCTCCAGGCAACATGATGAGATCCCCATCTCTAAAATATAAAATAAAAATTAGCCAGGTGTGGTGGCAGGCACCTGTAGTCCCAACTACTCAGAAGACTGAGGTGGGAGGATCGCTTGAACCCCAGAGTTCGAGCCTGCTATGAGCCATGATTGTGCCACTGCACTCCAGCCTGGGCAACAGAGTGAGACCCTGTCTCAAAAATTAAAAAAATATATATATGACTGAGAGCCAGCTTGGTAAAGCCTTCAGAGCCAATGTGCCCTGCAGTCCGTCAACACACATGGAATGATTGCGCACTGGGGAACTGCAGTGCAAGACAGAGATGTGGAAGAAAGACTTGACTCTCAGAGATAGAAAAGTCAGGAAAGACACAAATAAAAACCCCAAAGAACTCCCAGACACAGACCTCTACAAACTGACTTGTTAACCTTTTGGGCCCGATCACAGCAGAAGCAAGGGCTCCACACCATACGAACCTGGGTCAAGGCTAAGGTGCCGGGGCCGGCTTCTTCTCCTCTGCTCAAGCAGGCTTTATATGGAGCACACTCTCTCCAGGACACAAAACAAGAACCATGCCCCTTCCACCCTGGCCCCCCTTACCCTCTCAGAAGGGGCTCCCTGGCCTAGCAGAGAGCAAAAGGCTACAGGTCTCACCACTGAAAGCTGGGCACCACCCGCCCCAAAGCAGAGAAGTGGAGGAGAGGACACTAGGTAGCTGCGCTAGCAGGGTTGTGCATGAAGCCAGCACCTGAGAGAAGACAGGAGGGAGGCAGAATTGAAGCCAGAGGCGGTGGTTTTTGGTGGTCACTATGGCCCACTCTAATTACTATGCACCAGGCGAGAGTCTGTGCTGGGTGCTCCTGAACATACAGATATGCAAGACACGGCCCTTGGGGGTGGGATGTCCTATAGGAGAAATTAGCCAAAAACGCAAGGCTGCCTGCATTGAATGCCAAATGATGGACACACACCATAAGTGTCAGAGGAAAAGAAATAATATTTACTGAGTACTTACTATGTGTTAAAGCACCTGTAAATGGTTTAGATGTATTTAATTTTTCCAACAGCCCATGAAGTGATTACTGGTATTATTTCCACTTTATGGATGAGAAAATTGAGGCTCAAAGAGTCTTAAAACACTTGCTTGGTGTCACACAATTTTTCATGGTAGATTCAGATTTTCAACTCAAAATTCTACCTCTCCAAGTGCGCGCGCGCGGACCCACGCACATGCATGGTTTTCTTGATGGGAGAGGATTTTGGGAAAGAGAGGTGACACCAGGCACGGGACTCTGGCTCCTACGCATAACTTATTTTTGACACATAGAGGGAACTTCGACGGCTACGTTTTCAAGCAGAGGGATGTCTTCTAACGAAGAGTTCATTTTTGATGTTTAGTTGTGCAGTCGTTAAGTCTGCGAGTTGCGATCCTGCTTCAGTTGTGCTGTGGGAGCGCAGTGGCCCAGGACTGGCTGGCCCGGCTGGGGAGGAGCCCAGGGAAAGAGGAAGGGAGGGCAGGGGAGGGGAGAAGCAGCTGTCCCCGGGCTGCCTGGGAGTCACTGGGGAGTCCTAGCCCGCCCTTGGGCCTAGGGCTCCCTGATGCGGCCTCCACTCTTCGCAGGGCCAGGGGGCGAGGAAGGAGGAGGGAGGGAAGAGGGAAGCTGGGGAGTGGGAGAGCGTCCTCCACGACCGCTTGGGTCCTCCGCGGGGCAGCCTCGGGGAGGGTGGCTGCAGGGCCCGGAGTCGCCTGGATCGCAGCGCCATCTCGTGGCTGCTGGCAGGTCTGCCTTGGGCCCTCTTGGCACAAGGCAAGGAAACAGGAGCTCTTCCCATCAGTGACAGGTGCCCGCCGGCCCGCAGTGAGTCCCAGGGGGCTTTCTCCTGCGTCAGGGAGCCAGGAGGGGAAGGGGGCATGGGTGCTGGGACCAGATTTCCCTGACTCTGTGCTCCTGGGTAAGGACTGATTGTCAAGAGTGGGCTTCCAGTTCTACCCCAGGCCCTGAGGGTCTTGTCCTTTTGCTGGGAGCCCCCACCGTTCTCCCCTACTCCCTCCTGTCTTCTCAAACGATAGCATAATGGAAGAAATCATCCTTAGAGTATGCAGGCCAGAACCCTGCCCCGTTGCGTAAGAGCTGTTGTCCCCGCGTCTCTCTGAGCCTCAACGGTTTTATCTGTTAAAGGGCATAATAACACCAGGAGAAGAATATATTGTAAAGCCTCTAGCACAGTGCCTTCAAGTAGTAGGAACTTAATCCATCCTTGAAGGCGACATCATTGTCAGTGGTTACAACAGGTCTCAATGTTGCGGAAGCTCATGCTTAGCAGATGGTAGGTGCCCTGGGAATATTGCAAACTAGTAGCGATGTCTTCTTAGCTCCAGCCCGAGAATGGGACAGTCCTAGTGCTAGATGTTTGCCTAGTTTCATAGATGATAACAATCCAGCTGGTCTTGCAAACCTAGTAAAAATAGCTGTCTATTCTACCCATCAGCCCAGGAGAATGCTCCAGTGTCACCAGTGACTCCTGCTCCCACATCTGCCTACAGGAAGCCCTCTTGGAACAAAAGCATCTCACTTCTGGGAGGCATCAAGGTAGTGAGGGGAGAGGGCAGTGGTGTGGGTTACACAGACCTGGGGCTCCCTTACCAGGTGAGGACCTGGAGCAGGCCACTAACCTCTCCAAACCCCATGTTTGTCATCTGTAAATCAGGGATATTATTATACTTCCCACCTCTTTAGGCTTGTATGGAATTGAATGAGATTATTAATGTAAAACACTTAGCACGGTGGTTTTAGTGTGCATCAGCATCACCTGAGGATTTATTAAAATATGAGTTGCTGGGCCCCACCTCAAGTTTCTCAAGCTGTAGGACCGTGGTGTGGCTCAATAATTTATTTGCACTTCTAATTTGCATCTCGGGGGATGTTGGTGCAATCTGTCCAGGAACCAGGCTTTGAGAAGGACTAATCTGGCACATACTAGATCTGCAATGAATTTTTTTATTATACTTTAAGTTTTAGGGTACACGTGCACAACGTGCAGGTTTGTTACATATGTATACATGTGCCATGTTGGTTTGTTGCACCCAGTAACTCATCATTTAACATTAGGTATATCTCCAAATGCTATCCCTCCCCCCTCCCCCCACCCCACAATAGGCCCCAGTGTGTGATGTTCCCCTTCCTGTGTCCACGTGTTCTCATTGTTCAATTCCCACCTATGAGTGAGAACATGCGGTGTTTGGTTTTTTGTCCTTGCGATAGTTTGCTGAGAATGATGGTTTCCAGCTTCATCCATGTCCCTACAAAGGACATGAACTCATCATTTTTTTATGGCTGCATAGTATTCCATGGTGTATATGTGCCACATTTTCTTAATCCATTCTGTTATTGTTGGACATTTGGGTTGGTTCCAAGTCTTTGCTATTGTGAATAGTGCCGCAATAAACATACGTGTGCATGTGTCTTTATAGCAGCATGATTTATAATCCTTTGGGTATATACCCAGTAATGGGATGGCTGGGTCAAATGGTATTTCTAGTTCTAGATCCCTGAGGAATTGCCACACTGACTTCCACGATGGTTGAACTAGTTTACAGTCCCACCAACAGTGTAAGTGTTCCTATTTCTCCACATCCTCTCCAGCACCTGTTGTTTCCTGACTTTTTAATGATCGCCATTCTAACTGGTGTGAGATGGTATCTCACTGTGGTTTTGATTTGCATTTCTCTGATGGCCAGTGATGATGAGCATTTTTTCATGTGTCTGTTGGCTGCATAAATGTCTTCTTTTGAGAAGTGTCTATTCATATCCTTCACCCACTTTTTGATGGGGTTGTTTTTTTCTTGTAAATTTGTGTGAGTTCGTTGTAGATTCTGGATATTCGCCCTTTGTCAGATGAGTAGATTGCAAAAATTTTCTCCCATTCTGTAGGTTGCCTGTTCACTCTGATGGTAGTTTCTTTTGCTGTGCAGAAGCTCTTTAGTTTAATTAGATCCCATTTGTCAATTTTGGCTTTTGTTGCTATTGCTTTTGGTGTTTTAGACATGAAGTCTTTGCCCACGCCTATGTCCTGAATGGTATTGCCTAGGTTTTCTTCTAGGGTTTTTACGGTTTTAGGTCTAACATTTAAGTCTTTAATCCATCTTGAATTAATTTTTGTATAAGGTATAAGGAAGGGATCCAGTTTCAGCTTTCTATATATGGCTAGCCAGTTTTGCCAGCATCATTTGTTAAATAGGGAATCGTTTCCCCGTTTCTTGTTTTTGTCAGGTTTGTCAAAGATCAGATGGTTGTAGATATGCAGCATTATTTCTGAGGGCTCTGTTCTGTTCCATTGATCTATATCTCTGTTTTGGTACCAGTACCATGCTGTTTTGGTTACTGTAGCCTTGTAGTATAGTTTGAAGTCAGGTAGCGTGATGTCTCCAGCTTTGTTCTTTTGGCTTAGGATTGACTTGGCAATGCGGGCTTTTTTTTGGTTCCATATGAACTTTAAAGTAGTTTTTTCCAATTCTGTGAAGAAAGTCATTGGTAGCTTGATGGGGATGGCATTGAATCTATAAATTACCTTGGGCAGTATGGCCATTTTCATGATATTGATTCTTCCTACTGATGAGCATGGAATGTTCTTCCATTTGTTTGTATCCTTTTTTATTTCATTGAGGAGTGGTTTGTAGTTCTCCTTAAAGAGGTCCTTCACATCCCTTGTAAGTTGGATTCCTAGATATTTTATTCTCTTTGAAGCAGTTGTGAATGGGAATTCACTCATGATTTGGCTCTCTGTTTGTCTGTTTTTGGTGTATAAGAATGCTTGTGATTTTTGCACATTGATTTTGTATCCTGAGACGTTGCTGAAGTTGCCTATCAGATTAAGGAGATTTTGGGCTGAGACAATAGGGTTTTCCAGATATACAATCATGTCATCTGCAAACAGGGACAATTTGACTTCCTCTTTTCCTCATTGAATACCCTTTATTTCCTTCTCCTGCCTGATTGCCCTGGCCAGAACTTCCAACACTATGTTGAATAGGAGTGGTGAGAGAGGGCATCCCTCTCTTGTGCCAGTTTTCAAAGGGAATCCTTCCAGTTTTTGCCCATTCAGTATGATATTGGCTGTGGGTCTGTCATAGATAGCTCTTATTGTTTTGAGATACGTCCCATCAATACCTAATTTATTGAGAGTTTTTAGCATGAAGGGTTGTTGAATTTTGTCAAAGGCCTTTTCTGCATCTATTGAGATACTCATATGGTTTTTGTCATTGGTTCTGTTTATATGCTGGATTATGTTTATTGATTTGCATATGTTGAACCAGCCTTGCATCCCAGGGATGAAGCCCACTTGATCATGGTGGATAAGTTTTTGATGTGTTGCTGGATTCGGTTTGCCAGTGTTTTACTGAGGATTTTTGCATCGATGTTCATCAGGGATATTGGTCTAAAATTCTCTTTTGTTGTTGTGTCTCTGCCAGGCTTTGGTATCAGGATGATGCTGGCCTCATAAAATGAGTTAGGGAGGATTCCCTCTTTTTCTATTGATTGGAATAGTTTCAGAAGGAATGGTACCAGCTCCTCCTTGTACCTCTGGTAGAATTCAGCTGTGAATCCATCTGGTCCTGGACTTTTTTTGGTTGGTAAGCTATTAATTATTGCCTCAATTTCAGAGTCTGTTATTGGTCTATTCAGAGATTCAAGTTCTTCCTGGTTTAGTCTTGGGAGGGTGTATGTGTTGAGGAATTTATCCATTTCTTCTAGATTTTCTAGTTTATTTGCGTAGAGGTGTTTATAGTATTCTCTGATGGTAGTTTGTATTTCTGTGAGATCGGTGGTGATATCCCCTTCATCATTTTTTATTGAGTCTATTTGATTCTTCTCTCTTTTCTTCTTCATTAATCTTGCTAGCAGTCTATCAATTTTGTTGATCTTTTCAAAAAACCAGCTCCTGGATTCATTGATTTTTTGAAGGGTTTTTTTGTGTCTCTATTTCCTTCAGTTCTGCTCTGATCTTAGTTATTTCTTGCCTTCTGCTAGCTTTTGAATGTGTTTGCTGTTGCTTCTCTAGTTATTTTAATTGTGATGTTAGGATGTCAATTTTAGATCTTTCCTGCTTTCTCTTGTGGGCATTTAGTGCTATAAATTTCCCTCTACACACTGCTTTGAATGTGTCCCAGAGATTCTGGTATGCTGTGTCTTTGTTCTCATTGGTTTCAAAGAACATCTTTATTTCTTCCTTCATTTCATTATGTACCCAGTAGTCATTCAGGAGCAGGTTGTTCAGTTTCCATGTAGTTGGGCGGTTTTGAGTGAGTTTCTTAATCCTGAGTTCTAGTTTGATTGCACTGTGGTCTGAGAGACAATTTGTTATAATTTCTGTTCTTTTACATTTGCTGAGGAGTGCTTTACTTCCAACTATGTGGTCAATTTTGGAATAAGTGTGGTGTGGTGCTGAGAAGAATGTATATTCTGTTGATTTGGGGTGGAGAGTTCTGTAGATGTCTATTAGGTCTGCTTGGTGCAGAGCTGAGTTCAATTCCTGGATATCCTTGTTAACTTTCTGTCTCGTTGATCTGTCTAATGTTGACAGTGGGGTGTTAAAGTCTCCCGTTATTATTGTGTGGGAGTCTAAGTCTAAGTCTCTTTGTAGGTCACTAAGGACTTGCTTTATGAATCTGGGTGCTCCTGTATTGGGTGCATATATATTTAGGATAGTTAGCTCTTCTTGTTGAATTGATCCCTTTACCATTATGTAATGGCCTTCTTTGTCTCTTTTGATCTTTGTTGGTTTAAAGTCTGTTTTATCAGAGACTAGGATTGCAACACCTGCCTTTTTTTGTTTTCCATTTGCTTGGTAGATCTTCCTCCATCCCCTTATTTTGAGCCTATGTGTGTCTCTACACGTGAGATGGGTGCAGCATCTGAATACAGCATTCCTGAATACAGCACACTGATGGGTCTTGACTCTTTATCCAATTTGCCAGTCTGTGTCTTTTAATTGGAGCATTTAGCCCATTTACATTTAAGGTTAGTATTGTTATGTGTGGATTTGATCCTGTCATTATGATGGTAGCTGGCTATTTTGCTCGTTAGTTGACGCAGTTTCTTCCTAGCCTCGATGGTCTTTACAATTTGGCATGTTTTTGCAGTGGCTGGTACTGGTTGTTCCTTTCCATGTTTAATGCGTCCTTCAGGAGCTCTTTTAGGGCAGGCCTGGCGGTGACAATCTCTCAGCATTTGCTTGTCTGTAAAGTGTTTTATTTCTCCTTCACTTATGAAGCTTAATTTGGCTGGATGTGAAATTCTGGGGTGAAAATTCTTTTCTTTAAGGATGTTGAATAGTGGCCCCCACTCTCTTCTGGCTTGTAGAGTTTCTGCCAAGAGATTAGCTATTAGTCTGATGGGCTTCCCTTTGTGGGTAACCCGACCTTTCTCTCTGGCTGCCCTTAACATTTTTTCCTCTATTTCAACTTTGGTGAATCTGACAATTATGTGTCTTGGAGTTGCTCTTCTTGAGGAGTATCTTTGTGGCATTCTCTGTATTTCCTGAATTTGAATGTTGGCCTGCCTTGCTAGATTGGGGAAGTTCTCCTGTATAATATCCCGCAGAGTGTTTTCCAACTTGGTTCCATTCTCCCCATCACTTTCAGGTATGCCAATCAGACGTACATTTGGTCTTTTCATATAGTCCCATATTTCTTGGACGCTTTGTTTATTTCTTTTTATTCTTTTTTCTCTAAACTTCTCTTCTCACTTCATTTCATTCATTTGATCTTCCATCACTGATACCCTTTCTTCCAGTTGATCGAATCGGCTACTGAGGCTTGTGCATTCATCATGTAGTTCTCGTGCCATGGTTTTCAGCTCCATCAGGTCCTTTAAGGACTTCTCTGCATTGGTTATTCTAGTTAGCCATTCGTCTAATTTTTTTTCAAGGTTTTTAACTTCTTTGCGTTGGGTTCGAACTTATTCCTTTAGCTCAGAGTAGTTTGATCGTCTGAAGCCTTCTCTCAACTCATCAAAGTCATTCTCTGTCCAGCTTTGTTCCGTTGCTGGTGAGGAGCTGCATTCCTTTGGAGGAGGAAAGGCACTCTGATTTTTAGAGTTTCCAGTTTTTCTGCTCTGTTTTTTCCCCATCTTTGTGGTTTTATCTACCTTTGGTCTTTGATGATGGTGACGTACAGATGGGGTTTTGGTGTCGATGTCCTTTCTGTTTGTTAGTTTTCCTTCTAACAGTCAAGAACCTCAGCTTCAGGTCTGTTGGAGTTTGCTGGAGGTCCACTCCAGACCCTGTTTGCCTGGGTATCAGCAGCGGAGGCTGCAGAACAACGGATATTGGTGGACAGCAAATGTTGCTGCCTGATCGTTCCTCTGGAAGTTTTGTCTCAGAGGAGTACCCGACTGTGTGAGGTGTCAGTCTGCCCCTACTGGGGGGTGCCTCCCAGTTAGGCTGTTCGGGGATCAGGGACCCACTTGAGGAGGCAGTCTGTCCGTTCTCAGACCTCCAGCTGTGTGCTGGGAGAACCACTACTCTCTTCAAAGCTGTCAGACAGGGACATTTAAGTCTGCAGAGGATTCTGCTGCCTTTTGTTTGGCAATGCCCTGCCCCCAGAGGTGGAGTCTACAGAGGCAGGCAGGCAGGCCTCCTTCAGCTGCAGTGGGCTCTGCCCAGTTCGAGCTTCCCAGCTGCTTTGTTTACCTACTCAAGCCTCAGCAATGGCGGGAGCCCCTCCCCCAGCCTCACTGCCGCCTTGCAGTTTGATCTCAGACTGCTGTGCTAGCAGTGAGCGAGGCTCTGTGGGCATAGGACACTCCGAGCCAGGTGAGGGATATAATCTGGTGTGCCATTTGCTAAGACCGTTGGAAAAGTGCAGTATTAGGGTGGGAGTGACCCGATTTTCCAGGTGCTGTCTGTCACCCCTTTTTTTGACTAGGAAAGGGAATTCCCTGACCCCTTGCGCTTCCCAGGTGAGGCAATGCCTCGCCCTGCTTCAGCTCACACTCGGTGTGCTGCACCCACTGTCCTGCACCCACTTTCCGACACTCCCCTGTGAGATGAACCCGGTACCTCAGTTGGAAATGCAGAAATCACCCGTCTTCTGCCTCACTCACGCTGGGAGCTGTAGACTGGAGCTGTTCCTATTCGGCCATCTTGGCTCCATCTGCAATGAATTTTTGTTGTCATTCCCCACCCACCCACTTACAAATCAAAAGGGAAAATGAGGATATATGGGGAAATACAACCCAAATCCAGTCAAGTAAAACTATGAAACCCCACATCTAGCTAGACATAAGAACAGTTCAATTTAACAAATGTTAGTTGAATACCTTTTTCTATTTCTTCCATATATTTTGTTGGTTAGGGATTCACTCAAATGCCCCATCTCTTTCGATGCTCATAACAATCTTGTGAAGTATATCATGATCTCCATTAAGAGGTGAGTGACTTGCTTACAGGCACAAAGCTCTGGAAGGCAGAGCACAGCCTCAGTTGGAATTTGCTGACCCGGCTGCGCCCTTTGGAGTGCGTCTCAGACACCTCAGCATGCTCGTGGAGGCCGGCTGGTCTGATGTCAATCTGTCTCAGGAGCTGTCTTCTAAGGGCTTCCATCTTGACTGACTTTCCTGGCCAAGCTCACTCCCAGCTCACACTGCTTTGGGGTCAAGTGTGGACTGGTTTATCCTTGCCAGGCTCACTCGCTCTCTCTTCTCATCCACTGTACTTTCAGAACATGGCTCCCAGCAGAAGGATGAGGCCATCAGGGCCTGGGGTAGACTAGAGGCTCACCTTATCCAGGCCCTCTAGGTCTTATCAGTCCCTATCCAGGCCCTCCAGGTCTCAGGAATAGTCCTTATCCAAGCCCTCTAGGTCTCAGGAATAGTCCCCTTCTCCCCCATCCTGGACATCTGAGAGGCCTCAGTAGCAAGCCACCTGGAGACATGGGAGGAGCTGCCATCCTTCCCTACTCAGTGCCTCCTTTGCCTCTCCTAAGTGGGGTGAAGGAAGGGAAGCCCACTAAACCTGGGTGGGCTCTGGGACGCCAGGATTTTCTCTTCCAGTTTCCTCCTCCAGAACCCAGATGGTTTGGGTTTTTATGTTTGGTGGAACGAACATGGCCTTAAGAGCAAAACGACCTGATTTGAACCAATGCCAGGTCTCTGCTACCAGAATACTTTGTGGTCATTAGGAAGTCTCTTAACTTCTTTGTCTTGGTTTCCTCATCAGCAAAAATAGGCACAGGATGACTCGCCTTTCAAAACTACTGTTTGGTTTGTGTGACATCTGCATGTTAAAGTTGCTGGCACCTAACGAGCAGTGTCTTAGTCCATGCAGGCTGCTATAATGAAGTACCATAGAGTGGGTGGCTTACACACAATCGAAATTTATTCCTCACTATTCTAGAGGCTGGGAAGCCCACAGTCAAGGTGCTGACAGATTCAGTGTTGAGTGAGGCCTGCCTTCTGCCTGTGTCCTCGCATGGTAGAAAGGGTGACAGGTCCCTCTTGGGCCTCTTTTATAAGGACACTAATTCCATTCAAGAGTGCTCCACCATAATCACCTCCCAATGGCCTATGATTGGGAGGTAATCACCTCGATAAAGCCCCATCTCCTAGTACCATCATGTTGGGGTTAGGATCTCAACATCTGAGTTTTTTGGGAGGGGTGGGGGCCACAAACATTCAGACCAGAACAAACACCAAATAACTCTATTTTCCTTAATTTGGTATTTACTAAGCACCTACTGTGAGCCTGTCCATGGGGGTACACAGGTGAGTAAGCCAAAGCCCTTGCCTGCTGAGAGCTTCCACCCCATACCCTTGGCCTGTGTGGACAATGAGGCCGGCCTGAGACCAGATCTCACTGGGGTAGTTGGGTGTAGGAGGCAAGGCTGCTGGTCTGGGGATGGGCGCTCAGGGTGTGAACTCTGCAGCCAGGGTGACTGAAGCTTGCTCTGTGCCTGCTGGGCTTGAATTGCAGCTAATGGTTTTCACAGCTTTGCCCTGGAGGCATGGAGAGCGCTGTGACTCACCGAAGCCTCCTCCACTCAGCAGCCTCTGCTCTGGCATCCTTTGTTGCATGTCCATTCTCCCATTCATTCACTCATTCACTTATTTATTCATTCATTCCACAAACATGTGTCAGGAACCCAAAGTGTGCTGGACTCTGGGGCCTGGAGTGTGGAACACAGACTTGACGGGGAGGCTGAGAGGGGATTATACCCCACCCATCCCACCTCTCCTCACCAGGCCATAAGAGGGGTTGGGGGTAGGGGAGTAGGAGCTTTTCTCCTAGTTCTCAAGGTTCACCTCATGGGGTCCAGGGAAGCCTGATGAAGGAGAAGTTTCTGAAGTTAATTGGGCTGGATGTGGCTCCTGAAGGGATACAGGATGAGGAAGGAGGAGCCATCATGCTGGGGGACCAAGAGAGGGGGGTACCACTGACACCTGGCTTGGAGGGGAAGGAAACGAATTTGGCTTCAGTGTAAGTGTTCCCTTGAATTTCTTTTCTTTTAGAAGATGAAAAAAGAGTGAAGAGGCACAGAGTGGGGAATTGGTGGATAAAAGTGAGCACAGAGAGAGGGCGAATGCTTCCAAGGCCCTGCTCCCTCGAGCCCTCATGCCCTGTCCCTCTGTCTCCTCCACCTCCCTCCCTCTGCAGGCCATCCTCTACTCTCTCATCTCATCAATGTCTCCCCTACCCTCCAGACTATGTCTGAAGCTCCCAAGGAATAGCTGAAAAGTGCAGTGACCCCTAAACCTGCTCCCTCCTATCCCACTCCACCTCTGCATCCAGATTTTGCTTCGAAGTTCTGTCCCAAGACTTACAACCAGAAAAGAAGTCCTACTTAGAAAAACAAGTTGTCTTCATTAGAGGGTGGAAGGAGCAAACAGCCTCCTTCACGCTGAGTTGCGGGTTACTCTGCTAGTGAGCTTGTGAGCTGTTGTTAGTGGGTTGTCAATGCCAACTCCAAACCCCATTTAAATCCTGGGGAATAGGGAAATTGCTCTTAGAGGTCTCATTCAAGGTTAGTTGACAGATGGTGACAGTTCAGCGACTTGTCTAATGATATGCCATAAAGATTCGTTCTCTTCTCTTCCTTTTCGAATTTCATTAGGGAGGTCCCATACATTCTTAAGATCTTCCTTGTCATCTCTGTGGCCACAGACCAGCTTCTGACCTCTTCCCCAAGCACCAGAGCCTCATGGTGGTTAGGAGCTTTGGAGCCAGGGGCGTGGGTTCTTACTAGCTGTGGGAACTTGGGCAAGTAGCTAACCTCTTGGAGCTGTAGTGTCCTCATCTGTAAGATGGGGATAACAATATCTACCCTTTGGGATGTTATGAGAATTAAATGAGATAATGCATGTGAAGGGCTTAGCATGGTGCCTGGTAGAGAGTAATCTCTTAATGTTTGTCAGCCAATACTAATGACAATAATATTATCTCCACTTGGATGACCTACAAGTACCTTAAACTCGGTATTTCTTCACTATAAACCAGTTTTCTGGCCTCACTTTCTAGTTCCCTTTAAAGAAATCAGCATTCTTCCTACATGTCTTTGGGGACAAGGTCACCTGGATTCTACTTTGTGCCTTTCTTGTGACCTTTCTACCTATTCCTTTATGGCCATGTTCAGCCCTTCATTATGTCTTCCCTGGAGTCCCTGATGCCAGTCTCTCCATTCAATCCTCTCCACATAGCCATCAGATTTGACTTTTGGATTATGTCACTCTCCTCCTCAAGAACCTTCAGTGTCTCTCTAGTGTCCACTACCAAAGTAACCACATACTTCTTACACTTCTCTCCACAATATGCCCCGATATACCTGACCACCCACCTCCATGCCCTTCCCCTTGCCCAGATTTTCTCCCTGGAAGTTTACATAATTTTCTCCACCACCCTCTTGTTCTCCAGTATGTGCATCACCAGCAGGACAGACTTGCAGCGCCTATTCTGAGTGAAAAAGAGAATCTTTTGGTGCTACCCTCAACCAACCTCATCCTTTCTCCACTTGGATTCTTCTCAACATTGACCCTCTTGAAAAGATCATAAAAACTCACTTTAAGGTGTATATGAGGAGTTTTGTCTCCCAGGAAGGTTTGCATTGTATCTGTAATGGTGGAGTCTCAGGCATTGACTTCCCAGGTGAAGGAAGGGTGATTTTGGGATGGGGGGGCCTTCCTGAAACCTCTGAAGAAACAGCACACCAGCACCTCTGCCAGCCAGCTGCATCCAGGATCAATGTTCCCCCTAGTTCTGGTTCACTCTTTTGAAGCTTTCCAAGTCCCAGAAGTGAATTCTTAGCCTTTCTTTGAGCTCTCTTTGGTCCAGGCACAGCTGTAGGAAAAATTGTACAGTGGCATGAAAAAAGTGAAGGGTTTAGTGTAGTAAATTCTGCAAATTTTCTTTTAAAAAAAACTGCATTTTAAAAAATAAAAATACTATGTCCTATTGTAAGGTAAATGTATTTCTACATATGCATGTACACAAATGTACTTAAGGGATAATTCAGTTGAAAGTCGTTATAGATCTTTACTGTAAAAATCCTTGGTTTACCCAAATTAATGTTTCTCCTGAAAATGAGAATTCTTGAATTACATTGGATTTGGGGGAACAACTGCTAATCTATAGGACGTGAGCATCTGGTAGGTGCCCAATATATTTTTTATACACCTGCATATAAAGTGCAAATACTCTGGGCTGGGCAACATGGTTTTCAGTTTTTGCACATGTGCACACACACGTGTGTGTATGTGGTAATACGTTCTTATGCGTTCTATCCAAATGGTATTCAGAAACAATACTGTGGCTTTATTTGATGCACTTGTATTTTTTTCCATTATGGTTGGTTTTGAATACACTCACAATTACTGTTTTCAAAGCAGTTCCCATTTCACCCTCTATAAATGTAGATTTATACAGTGGTGAAATTTATACAGTGGTGATTTCACAGTGATGAAAATTGACACTAAAGAGCTGTTCAGCCCTGTTCATCTCACCTGCTGACTACAGGTGTACAGGAAGAGTGCTGATTTCCTCTGTGCCAGCCTGGACATGGCTGGTTACCCAGACTGGGCTTCCAAGGCAAACTGGTTCTAGTTTGTAAACTGTAAATGGAAATGGCTTTACTTCCTTACATATACACTTTCTAAATAAAGCTCTAAAAGGTGGAAAAAAAGAGAAAAAAGAAAAAAGTAAAGGGCATGAAACCAGCCAGAAACTGCAAAAAGTACTCATCCATGAGAGGAAGAGGACATTGCTGCCAGGCTGGTGGGGAAGCAGGAGATCCTAGAGACTGAGGGAGGCTGAAAAGTGGAACCCAGGGCAAAGGTTTGTGTGCGCCCATGTGCACACACACATGCACACACTCATGGATACAACAGGAGCTCCAACAGAAAGAGCTAGGAACACAGCTCTGGCATCTTATGTGTCTCAGTCCACAGCCTTGCCCAGGCCCAGCAGAGGCTCACTCTGCCCCTTCTTATTTGCCCCTTTGCCCATGATTCTCAGATGCCAGAATCCAGGCTCTATCCCCATGGCTCCCTGTGAAATGTCCTGGGCACCTCCTCAGGGTGCTGGGGAGACCACCATAGGAAAAGGCTTATCACAGGATAAGACTCAGGAGGCCTGGGTTCTCCCTCTGCTTCTGCCTCCATATCCAACTCAGATTCTTCTATTACAAAGAAACTCAAAGTTCTCCCAGATCTCTTCCAGCTCCAACAACAGATGATTATTTTAGAAAATAGTGAAACTCAGAGAATCAGTTTATCAGAATGTTTTGGCTGCAAATAACAAAGCACTTAGTATAAGAGAACTAAATGACGAGGGTTGATTCATCAGAGAAAACCTGCAGTTCAGAGGGAGGTGATTCCAGGGTCATTGTGGTGGCTCCGAGAGATCAAGGACCCAGGCTCCCTCTGCTTTCTTTAGGGCTGCTGCTGCCTTCCCTCATGGTGGCAAGATGGCTGCAGTGGCTCCAAGCTTTTCTTCTCATGTGGTGGCTTCTCAAGCAGGAAGAAAGGGGCCAGGGACACAATGAGTGAGGAAAGCCTTTCCCAGAAGCTTCCAGCATTTCCCCTCAGGTCTCTTTGGCTAGAGCTGGGTCACAGGCCTAACCTTAGACCTGTCGCTGAACAAGGGGATAGGACTGACCAGTCATGGTCCCTATACTTGGGCCAGGTAGAGATATGAAGAAATAAAAACTTGGGGTTCTATTAGCAATAAAGGGAAGGGGAGCAGCCACTGGGTGACCAACAGTGCCTGCCACAATCAGGGGGAACGCGTTCAGGAGCAAGAAACCAAGACTATCTGGTGGTTGTAACCAGGAAGGACATTTATTGGAAGAAATGTGTGGTGTGAGTCTGGAGGAAACAGCCCAGAAAAAAACCAGGAAGCACAATACATGCCTTTTAGCCGGAGTGGCCTGGTGTGGATTCCTCATCACGGCAGAAGAATTCTACTGCTTCTGGGCTATGTGTCACTTGTTCAAGATTGAAGTCTTGGCAGCAATATAGTATTGGCTCAGGCTGGGGTTCAGGCCTATGACCTGGATAGCTGAGTGCAGAGAGAAGGAAGACTTGGCCTTTTTAGTCTCCAAAATGGCCACCCACCAAGACTATATAATAGGAGATTTCCCTCCAATAGGAAAGAGGAGTTGGATGCTACTCGGCCAAAACAAAGCCAGATGGCCCAGCTAATATCCAGGAATTTGAAAAGCCCTTATTGAGCCTGTAGCCTGGGAAATGGGAAGGCAATGGCTGGACTTACTTATGGCCACCATGATTAATTACCAGGAAGCAAGTCACGACTATATGCTTCATATGATTTTGCAAGTTTTATTAACAGCTGGGTAAGTTTACTTTGATTATAATGTGAGTATCTATGTCCACCAACTTTGTAGTGTGGTTAGTTGTTCACAATTTTAAGAAATTGTAAGAATAGAGTTGTTAAAGAAAAAAAAAGACTTAGAAGGAACATTTAAAAAAATTACTTAGTCTCAGAGATTGCCAGCTGGATACATCACACCTGAGTGAAGCTGTGGAAAGGCTCCGAGACACCAGAGCTGGAAACAATGCCCTCAGCTCCCGAACACGCTTGCGAGTCCCTGGAGGATCTGAGGTTCCTTTTTAAGCAGAAAGATAAGTAATGCCTTTTCACCTCAAAGTAAGGCCATTAAGCTCCAGATCATCCTCAATAAGGGACACCATCCTCTCAATATTCAATAATCACCTTCTACAGGGGCCTCTAGACTGCCCATTGTGGGATATGACAGAGGCAAAATCCTGCTTCTGTCTTCTTTGGACCTGGTTCGATACCACTTTCAGCAACTCATGGAGCCAACTCAGCCTAGACAGTGAGAGGCTAAGACTCACAGAACCACCACCGCCCCTCTGTCAGCAGGAAACAGTTACAGAAGACTGACCTTCATCCACTTTCCACCAAAGATTTGGGGTCTTGGACTCTTAAGGCAGGGGTAAATGTTACAGTAGGTAGCTAGTCAGGTATGAGCAGGGCAGGAGAGGGCTCCCTACCACACACACACCAGAAATGTTGGGCAACCATCAGGTGATGGCCAGGCGGTTGTTAACAGTTTGTTTAAAGTAATAATTAGTCACAGCTGGTGCCAGGGAAAGGTAGGCTCCTAATAGATAGAAAACACCTGAAACTGATCAGCAGCTTCCCAATAAGATCCTGGAAGTATGCCAACAAATAAAACCCCAAGTCAAGATGTTAAGCTGTGCACTTGGTTTCTCGAGTCGCCTGCTTGGCCCTCTTCCAAGTTGCATTTTCCTTCTTTCCTTTCCTTTTTTTCCTTACTGGCCTAAAGCTTTTAAAATAAACTTCCACTCCTGCTCTGAAAAAAAAAATTACTTAGTCAAAATTTATTTCAAGGCCTGAAAACATTCAGACTAATCAAAATGGCACTACTGTAACTTTTTTTTTTCCTTCTTTTTTTTTTTTTTGAGACAGAGTCTCGCTCTGTTGCCCAGGCTGGAGTACAGTGGCTTGATCTCGGCTCACTGCAACCTCTGCCTCCTGGGTTCAAGTGATTCTCCTGCCTCAGCCTCCTGAGTAGCTGGGATTATAGGCGCACGCCACCACGCCTGGCTAATTTTTTGTATTTTTAGTAGAGACGGGGTTTCACTGTGTTAGCCAGGATGGTCTCGATGTCCTGACCTCGTGATCCACCTGCGTCGGCCTCCCAAAATGCTGGGATTACAGGCGTGGGCCATCGCGCCCGGCCTTGTAACTTCTTATAATAGTTAATATAAAACTTTGAAAAATGTAGATACAGTTAACTAACCTCTACGCACCATACCATCCATCTTAAAAGCAATGGCTATTTAACAAAATGTAAGGTGGCTATAAAGTATAAAAGAACATTCACACACTTAAAGAGAACATAATTAACAGCAAGCTAGTCAGACAAACAAACACAAATATTTTCACATTTTCTATGTTTGTTTTTAACTTTGCTTCATGAAGCCACTTATAATTGAGGCTTCTTTCAAGTACAGGATTTCTAATATGAAAAATAGTATTTTCTACATAGCTCTATAAAGAAATGAAAAGCCACAAGCTGCATTGTTTGCCATAAATTCATACACCAAAGAGTAAAACACAATCCAACTAAATTTATACATGTTTCCCTCTTCTCCAACAACTGCTTCAGATGTTTTTCTATGTACTTTCAAAATATTTTTATTAAAGTCAGTTCAAATTCATTTATGCAGATTAGGAAAAAATGATCCATAGTGAATTATTTTTAAAATTACCTTCTGTATACTTCTATCCCTCCACCAAACCAACCACCAAATCTATTGCTAAAGTGAACTATAATGCAATATACTGTTTGAAGGGGCCCAACGCAATCTGTAATCTTAATTTCCTAAATATCCAAAGATTTCAACATTCTGCCAATATCAACAAAAAGACTCAAGTGGCCAAAAATCACAGTCAGTAGGAGGAAAAAATCTACAGTATGAAGATTGTTTAACAAAATCTGTGCCTTTCTCTCAAGCTACAAGCATTCTTAGACTAGCATTAAATTACATTGTGTGTATACAACTACGTCAGTTTAGATTTGTCCTGGAACATATAGTTACATTAAGAATAAATAATTTTCTAAGTATTTTATAGTTTAATTGGCTTTAAATAGTTAGGCTAGAGGGAAAACAAGCATTTTATGTGTGTGTTTTTTTAAGAAACTGGTACATATAAACTAATGGCTATGTGTTCACTTAAATCTTGAGGAAACCTAAAGATGAAGTCTGTTGTGTCTTTGTTTTTCCTAAAAAAGGAAAAAAATCAAAGTCAAGAAAAATGTTAAAGTCTTATAGATATCTACAAGAATATCTACTCTGAAGAAGAAAGAAGTGTTATCCAACAAAAAGGAGAACCTATAGATTCAAAAAACATCTATCTTACTGTCTTAACAACAATAAAGATATGCAGAGGGAGTCTAGACCACTTAGAACCGAAGCAGCTCTATACAAAAATGAAAATGGTGCAATGATGTGACTGCCCAGATAATGACTAAAGGCCAGGTGCAGTGGCTCAGGCCTGTAATCCTGGCATTTTAAGAGGCTGAGGCAGGAGGATTGCTTCAGCCAAGAGTTTGAGACCAGCCTAGGCAACGTAGGGAGACCTTGTCTCTACAAAAATATTTTAAAATTGAGCTGAGCACGGTGGCTCACCCTGTAGTCCCAACTACTCAGGAGGCTGAGGTGAGAGAATTGCTTGAGCCCAGGAGGTCAAGGCTGCAATAGACCTTGATCACCATTGTATTCCAACCTGGGTGACAGGGCAAGACCCTGTCTCAAAAAAATAAACAAATAAATAAAAATAAAAATAAATAAATAAATAGAAAGAAAAAAGAAAATGACAAAAAAAGTTTCACAAATGTCTTCATGCTTATAATAATATATTAATGCATCATATATCACAAATACAAAGTCTGGAGTTTTCCCCTTAGGTTTATAATAAACTATACAACTCCTATTTAATGTATTTACTTTTATAAGCCTTCTCTGTTTAGGACTATATGCTATGCAAGTACATACATGAAGGTTTTTGCCATGAGAACTATAGTTCTCATCTCAAATTAGTGGCTTGCCTTTTAACCCATACTTATATACATTTCATTTCCATTATAAGACACTTAATACCCTTCTAGTGGTACATTCTAATCAACATATTTTGAAAATCTTTATTTTTAGATAAAGCTTTTTATGTATTTAAATAAATAAAACCTGTTAACAATTTAACAATTGAAGCACAATATAGTAACTGTGTTGTTTTGTTTAAACTAGTTCACAGCTGTGGGAAAATGTTTGATTTTAAGACTATAACCAAGGTGAGACTGGACAGTTGTAAGCAGTGAAATACTAGAATACAGTGAATGAATAAATAAGATTTTTTTTTTAATCAGTGGCCGTTCATTATTTTGCTTTTAGGAACCTGGAAGAAATGGTCTTCTTTAAGTTTCAAATGTTCTGGTAAATGTAGGCGTTTCTTAGCTTCCTTAATATCACCTTGAATTGCCGAAATAAGTGACTCTAAAGAAGCAAAGTTCTTTCGGGTCTGAGGTAGCCAAGGATGGCCACATTGAAGATCTCGCCACGCAAGTCGTTTTTGAAGATACCCATGATATACGTTTCCATGGACTTCTTTGTTTTCTTAGAGTATGAGTTCCATCCTGTCCTCATAATCATCTTATAGACATCTCCACTTCCAGCACTGGCCCGACCATAATAAATGCCAGTGCACTCATCAGCTGGAAGAGTACTACTTGTTCAGGGAAGTTCGCTGTGGCCATGCCCAGTGCTTGGATCCACAGCTCCTGGCCTGGGCAGAAATAGAGCAGGTGCCTCAGAATGCAGTCCATTCGCTTGGGGCACGGGCTGTGGCCCAGTCCATGCATTGCCCAGACCCCCGCACAAGGGGGTCCTGGGGGACGGGGTGTGAACTCTGTGCTGGGGCAAATGCCCACGACACGTGGTGGTGGGTCCCTCACGCCGCCGACCCCAGGAATAGTTTCTGAGGCAGATGGACTAGGGAGGACTGTGACCTGCACCTGCTTCTCCCACACCCTTCTCTGATGGGGTCCCCCAGGGATGACACTGATGGGAGCAGAGGCTTCTCACGGATGATTTGGGGATGATTTGGATGGGGAAGGCAGAGAAAAGAAACAGGTGGTCTTGGATTATGCAAGTTCTACCGTATTGATGCAAAACTTTGATTCGTCCGCACCACCTCCATTTAAACTGAATCAAACACGTGTTCGCACAGCATCAGTTTCACCATGCTGAGGCCCCGGACCCAGGTGGGGGCGAGGTTTGCCTAAGCACGCTGCAAGACCGCGCACAGCCAGCGATGTGCATGCGCACACCCGCACCTGCACATGCGCACACAGCCCAAACACTTGCAGTCGCACAGTGCTGCCTCTGGACCGACAGACTGCGATGGGAAGTAAAGTGAGACCAGAGCCAGGTGCCAGGCCAGTGAAAGTCCTGAACTGGCTGCTCCTGGCTCCAGAGAGGGCAGATTCAATAGGGTATGTTGACGTGAATGCCTGGATTTTAATCCGTGCTAAGTGACCTCTTTAATGGAGGTTTCAGGGTAAGGTTCAATCCTTACACTTCATGTCAGCCCTGGCTCCCACCCCGGCCATCATCTTAGGACATGTTACATTTCAGATATTTAAGTTCTTCCCCTTGGTGCAAACAAACCCAGCAATGGTGGTTATTGCCTCATCTAAAAAGAAACATTCTCTTCTCAATTAAACTCATTCTTGAGTATTCAAATCCAGTGACTAGGCAATTTTAATCATCTTCTCTAAACAAACAGAAATTTCCGCCAGATTATCAGGCCCAGTTAACTTCCTGAAGCCAGTCCCTGAAGGAGCGTCACCAAGTCTCCTGCTTAGACCACCGGGCTTGAGGCAGCTCTGGACACCTTGGGCACAGTCCGGGGGAGTGGGAGAAGGGGGCGGAGGGGCGCCACCTCCTTCTGCCCTCTGGGTCCCTCTGTGTCTCAGTCCCCTTCAGCTGGAGCTCTCCCACTGCTCTCATACACCTCATACTCAGATTTCCATCTCAAATCCTCTTCTCCCTCTCTGGCCAGGCCACAGGCTCTTTCTTGTCTCGGTGGAGCCACAGGTGTGTGACAGCTTGGTCTCCATCTGCCCACCAAACCCAGCCTCCTCCCCACTGGCCCCTCAAGTCCTGCTCGCCTCGAGACTTCTTTCCTGACTATCCTGCCCCCAGTCGACCTTACACCCCAACCTTACTCTCCTCTCCACCATCACTAAGGAAGGCTTTTCTTGCCTACCAGACAACAGGCTTCTTCCCCAGGCAATTTATTTTCCCTAGCTCAAAGGTTACCATTCACCCTTGGTGTTTATTGACATGATTTCACTGAACTATAGATGTAGTATGTGTGGCAGCTGGAGTGTGGGGGAGAAACAAAGGTGGCCTATACCATCTGCATGTGACATTCCTTTTAGTTTTCCTTCCCAGTTCGTTTGTTTCTTTGTTCATGCATCAAACATTGCCCGTTTATCATTTGTCTGGTATTGTGAAAGACATTGGGCATAAAATAAGATAGATAAGATACAATTTCTCCCCTCAGCCCCCAAGAAAGCTTGGAGTCTAGTAAGACAGTAGTTTGAGGTTCACAGCAGATAGGTACAATACAGTGTAGTGAGTGCAGTAATAAGGCATTATGGGAGTAACGCAGAGGGGCTCTGAACCTGGGTGGGGAGGACACTCAGCTGAATGTTGAAGGATGAGTAGGCAATAGTCAGAGGAAGGTTGGGGCAGGGGAAGGGAGATCAAGGGATAGTGGTGTAGCAGGGAGAGGGAACTGCGGAAGGCACCATGACGTGTGCTGAGAACTGAAGGTAGTTTGGAGTTGCTGGAACTGAGGTTTGAGGCAGAGAGTGGTGACCGATGAGGACAGAACTGCTCTAACTCCAGGGGATGCCATACATACTGCAGTCATCATGATAGGTAGCCCCTGTTGTGCACAATTTTCGTGGCCTTAGTCCATGGCCCTGAATGTGGCTGAGAGGTAAAGCTAAGCTTGGTGATAAGGACTACAATCTGATAAGGGCTGAAGAACTTGAACTTTAGCCTCATGCTATCCCCAGATGACTGGGCCCCCACCGTGCTGTGTCCCTCTGGGCACCCATCTGCTGGTCTTTTCCTTCTCACCCCTTGCTCCTTAGATCACAGGCTGTTAGAACTAGAAGAAACCTTAAATGCCATCAAGGGCAATCCCCTTCTTTCAACAAATAAAACAACACTAAAACAAATAAAGGCCCAGAAAAGAGATTGGTTTGCCAGAGGTCACATAGTCAGTGGTAAAATCTTCCAGGTCTGTTCTTCCCCCAGACCCACTTACCTACTGGCAATATCCCCAACGTTCACCCTGCCCCCCAACTTCTCTTGGTGTTTTCTTTCAGGCATTTGGATATGGCTGAGGCTGATTTGCCAAGTCCCCTCCCTAAACCTTATGGTTAATGAATTGGGGGTGGGTCCTGGCAGTTGGATGATGAGGCCCTGGGAGAGGTTCATTGGGGAACTGTAGGAAATGCACTTCCTTCCTCTTCTGAGCAAACTTCCAGAAGTGCCAGGTGCTCCTGGATGTGTGGGAAGGACCTGCACACAGCCACTGGGTAGAAATTCTCAAAGGAAGTTTGGAAGAAGGGGAGCCTTGGGAGACACACAAATGTAAGGCAGCAGAGCTCCCAGCTTTAACATTTCCCCTCACCCCTTTGGGAAAGACTGCCAGAGACACCTGTACAGCCTGGTGTGTGGTCTGGGGTGACTGTAGAGAGGGGCAGTCAAAGGAAGAGAGACTTTCCTGTTGCCACCTACTTGGTAGTGTCCTTGGGGTTGGGGTGGGGGGCAAACACTTGGAATTTCAGGCCATGATCAGGGAGGGAGCAGTGGTCCCCCCACCCCGCCTCAGCGATGCTGGGAGGGCTGGAAGGAGCCCAGAATGTTCAGAAGCCCCTGGTGCCTGTGAGCTGTAGGCCTGGGTTGCACATGTATCAATTCTGTGTATCAACAGCATGTGTTTATCCTTTCTTCCCCTATTTTCTCTCCCCTTGATGTCAGGCTGTCTTGTGACTTGTTTTGGCCAATGGAATATGAGAGAAACACTAGCAGGAGCTTTAAATGGGTTTGTGTGTTTTGGCTTCATCTCCTGAGCTTTACTGGTCATGAGGAGAGCTTGTCCTGAGTGTCTGCTAGAGCTTGTCCTGAGTGTCTGCTAGTCCCAGGACAAAGACCCACAGCCTGAAGCGGAGCCACAACATCCGATGTGCAGGCTATTGAATGAGAAATAAATACAATTGCCATCTGAGATTTCAGGGTTGTTTGTTAAGCAGCATGGTCAGAGCAAACCCTAGAATACAGTTATTTTGAGAAAGACTGAAAACACAAATGACCAGTGACTTAACACAAAAAGGTTTTCTTCTCTCATGTAAAAGTCCAAAGGTAGGCCATCCAAGGAGTCACCGAGACCCAGGACCCTTCCAGCTTTCAGTTTCACCCTCTTCAGGTTGTGGCCCTCATCTTCATGATCCAAAGTGGAGTGAGTGATCAGGGTCCACATTCTAGCCAGCAGGAAGGAAGACTGAAGGATGGCAGAAGGACATGCCTGTCCCTTTAAGGAGACTTCTTAAAAGTTTTACACCGGGAGTAATTTTGGAAATATTTAACGACCAGTAAGGCATGGGTTTCAGTTAATCAGAACGAATACCAGCTATAAACAACAGGTACATCTCTATCTGGGCATGTGGTGTAACTATCAGCCCTGATCACATCTTTCCATTTACAGATCTCATTGGCAGATCTTAGTCACATGCCCACACCTAGCTGCAAGGAAGGCTGGGAAGCATAGTCTTTACTCCAGACAGCCTTGGATCCAGACACAAGTTGGAGGTTGTAGTATTGAGGGAGAAGGAGAAAGTATTTACAGTGGGACAGCTAGTGTCTCTGCTACACAATTAAAGACACTTAGCGGCCGGGCGTGGTGGCTCATGCCTGTAATCCCAGCACTTTGGGAGGCCGAGGTGGGCGGATCACAAGGTCAGGAGATCGAGACCATCCTGGCTAACTTGGTGAAACCCCCTCTCTACTAAAAATACAAAAAATTAGCCGGGCGTGGTGGCAGGTACCTGTAGTTCCAGCTACTTGGGAGGCTGAGGCACGAGAATCACTTGAGCCTGGGAGGTGCAGGTTGCAGTGAGCCAAGACCACATGACTGCACTCCAGCCTGGTTGACAGAACGAGACTCCATCTCAAAAAAAAAAAAAAAAAAAGAAAAGAAAAAAAAGAAACACTGGCATAGTGCAATGAGCAAGGGCTTTGGAATCAGACAAAGCTGAGTTCAAATCCAGCTTCCGCCACTGTGGTCATGGGCCATTACAAATTTCTCTGAGTCTCAGTTTGCCCATCTGTAAAAGGTGAAAATTGAGTAAAAAAAAATATATGTAGTTGTTGTTGTTGTTGTTTTGAAGGGTAGCATTTTGCTCTGTTGCCTGGCCTGGAGTGCAATGGTGTCATCAGCTCACTGCAACCTTAAACTCCTGGGGTCAAGTGATCTTCCCGCTTCAGCCTCCCGTGAGTAGCTAGGACTACAGGCACGTGCCACCATGCCTAGATAATTTTTAAAATTTTTGTAGAGAGAGATTCTCACTATGTTGCCGAGGCTAGTCTCAAACTTCTGGCCTCAAGCAGTCCTCCCGCCTCAGCCTCCCAAAGTGTCGGGATTACAGGTCTGAGGCACGACACTCAGCCAAAACAATGTATTTAAAGATCCTGAAACCATAATTGGCAGATTATAAGGACTCAATAAATATTAATTCCCCCCAAGTCCGGAATCACAATAAAGCATAATTGATTAATAAGACAGTTGTGGGTTACTCTTCCAGAGAGACCAGCCCAGCATTTAAAGGGGGAGGGACAAAGTGTTAAGACCAAGAATCAATTCTCTCACTGGGTACAGTGGCTCAACACTCATAATCCAAGCATGTGGGGCTGCAGTGAGCTGTGTTTACATCACTGCACTCCAGCCTGGGCAACAGGCTGTCTCAAAAAAAAAAAAAAAGAAAAAAAAAACAATTAATTATTCTCTAGACCTTGGTGGAAATGTTTGAGGGGAACAGGAGAGATCTTCCTAGCCCCTGTAAATTATGCCTAAAGGATTTCTTATCTTTTTTTTTTTTTTTTTTTTTTGAGACAGGGTTTTGTTCTTGTTGCCCAGGCTAGAGTGCAATGGCACGACCTCGGCTCACTACAACCTCCACCTCCTAGGTTCAAGCAATTCTTCTGCCTCAGCCTCCCAAGTAGCTGGGATTACAGGCACCTGCCACCACACCCGGCTAATTTTTTGGTATTTTTAGTAGAGACGGGGTTTCACCATGTTGGCCAGGCTGGTCTCTAACTCCTGACCTCAGGTGATCTGCCCGCCTCAGCCTCCCAAAGTGCTGGGATTATAGGTGTGAGCCACCTCGCCCGGCCAATTTCCTATCTTAATGGAAAAATTTTAAAACCTTTACCCTTTATTTTTCCCTTCTTGCCAATAATCCTTTTCCTGCCCCTCATTTCAAAATCAGATTGGTCTGATTCTATCATGCCAAAACTACTGGTTAATCTTAGCTTATATTTTGTAGAATGACAGCCTATGGGGGAAAGGCTGATTAAGTCTGTTTCTTTTGTCATGATCATAGTGTAGTCTTTATATGATATTTACTCAGCTCTCATTGGCTTGGGGCAGGGATGACAGGATGCAATGGTGAGCTATCAATCACTGATAATGGCTTTGGTAGGTTTTCATGATGGCAACAACCACGTTCCATGTCTTTGGTAGGCTTTCATAATGGCCACAACCATGTTCCATGTCCTCTAAATTCATAGCTCCACATACATGGGATGAAGCCACAGGTGGACGTGGTTCTTGGACGAAGGTGGTGGAGAGGACTCTTTTTGGCATGAATGCTGAAAGGGTTTCTCCAGCTCTCCAATAACAACAAAAGCAGTTTTTTCTCCCATGTTGTTGTATGCAGTCAACAAATATTTATCAGTTACTTGCTTGATTTTATGTTTTTGTATAGGCAATTTCTCTAAAATCTTTAGGAATCTAAAGTTCTTGGTTCTAGGAATCTAGTTCTTGGTTATGGGAGACGCACAGAGGGGGAGAGACGAAGTAGATAACATTTTATAGTTTAACTTTTGCATTTCTGCTATATTGTTTGGCCATACGGCTTAATGAGAAAAGATGGTCTTTGGAGTTTGACATGCTTGGTTTCAGATCTTGACCCCAACACGCTGTTATTGAGGATAAACTCTCAGTGGCATAACACAGTGAAACTTTATCTCATCTAAGTCATAGTCTAGTGCAGGGGGCAGAGGGCAGGATGAAGGATGCTCTGTTCCATGTAGTCATTCAGGGATCCAAGCTCCTCCCATCTTCATCACATGGCTCCATGGTACCCTGGGTCATCCAGATAGTGATGTGAAAAAGGGAAGTGGAGGTTCATCTGCAAAGTCTTTATGGGCCAGGCCTGAAAGTGGAAAAAAATCACTTCTGTCCCCATTTCAGTGGCCAGAACTCAGTCATGTGGCCTGCCTAGCTGCAAGAGAGCTAGGAAATGTAGTTGAGCATGTGTCTAAAAATGAAGAAAATGGATACTAATGAGCATTAAGAGGTTCTGCCACAGCTATTCATCAGCTTTGTGACATTGAGCAAATGACTTCAACTTTCTTAGCCTTAGTTCCCTCATCTGTATAATGGGAGTAATACAGATCTCGTGGGACTGTTGTGAGACTTAGAGGAAATAGTATACATGAAGTGCTTGGTACCCAGTGCGCCCTTCCCATTTTAAATATACAGATGAGCACTTTTTCCTTCCTCTGGCCAATCCCAAATATTGGCTAGTTGAAAGTTGTCCTTCAGCAAACTTTTATCTCATTAGGGGAATATGGATCAGCACACACAGCTCCTATGCCCTGGGAGTAGAGGGTTGAGTTTGAGTGATCTTTCAGGGAGGCAGCAAGGTGGTCCCTGAAGCTTGAGGGAGTTTTTCTTAAGGTCTTTTCACAACATATGTGAAGGTTTTGCTGAGCTATTATCTGAATAACCAGGAACAGTGGTTCTTTAGTTACCTTGAGGAAAGTACCAGAACAAAATGACTTCCATGGCAGCACCAAGCATTTATGTTAATAGAAGGAAAAAAATCTGATGAAACTACTGGACTATTACAAAGACTTTGGAAAGAAGACTCTTTCCTTCTCTTGAGATCTTTAAGAAAAGGTCAGTTTCTTTTTTCTTCTTTTCTTTTCTTTTCACCTCCCTCCCTTCCTTCCTTCCTTCCTTCTTTCTTTCTTTTCTTCTTTCTCTCTCTCTTTTTCTTTCTCTCTTTCTTTTCTTTTCTTTTTCTTTCTCTCTCTCTCTCTGTCTCTCTCTCTCTGTCTCTCTCTCTCTCTCTGTCTCTCTCTCTCTCTCTCTCTCTCTCTCTTTCTTTCTCTTTTTTGACAGGGTTTGGCTCTGTTGCCCGGGCTGGAGTGCACTGGTGTCATCTCAGCTCACTGCAACCTCTGCCTCCCAGGCTGAAGTGATCCTCTTGCCTTAGCCTCCTGAATAGCGAGTAGCAAGGACTACAGGTGCCACCATGCCCAGCTAATTTGTTTGTGTTTTTGTACAGACTGGGTTTTGCCATGTTGCCCCGGCTGGTCTCGAACTCCTGTGCTCAAGCGATCTGCCAAGTGCTAGGATTACAGGCATGAGCCACTGCTCCTGGCCAGAAGAGGTCAGTTTCTATATTTTGGGGTCGTTCAGCACATTTCTGTTTAGGATCAGAAGAATGGGCTGAGGCTTCAGGGGCCACCTGCATCCCTCCTGTCCTTTCTCAGAGTGGTCCTTTTCTCCCTTCTTCAAGAAATGAGGCACCTAAGCCTTTGTGGCTGAGTTGACCTGCCCCTTAGCAATCCTCTGAGGGCTGCTTTATAGGAATCTCCAGAATGCCTAACCCCTGATCGGGTTCCAGAACAATGTCCCAGAACATTCTGTGCACTTGACAGGCCATACCCAGTGAGAGCCAAGTTCAAGAGGGTCAGTGTAGGGAGATGTAAGGGAAGAGGAGAATAGTGAAGTGCTGTCATGGGAAGTAAGATATAAATAAAATGACCCTGTTTCCAAAGAGGCAGTACAGCCCAGAGGCTCTGTTCTTGGGCATGCACATTGTTGGGTGGTTTTGACAGGCTGTGGAGCTAAACCAGAGCTCAGAGTCAAGACAGGAGAAAGGAGGCACAGGCTTGGCAGCCAGATGGTTTTTCTTCCTCTGCCTTCTGTTGGGTGGCTTAGAGGATGCACACGGAACCCAGACTGTGCTCTTTCCTCTGAATGACTTCTAGCCACATCCCTCCCTGACCCCAAACTGAAAGCCATTCTATTTTAATATTTCTCTTGGGAAGTAGATTCCAAAATTTCCCTAAGTCTTCCCGTAAGGGGAGCCTCTGATTTCCAGTAAATCAAGGGTCACATAGTTTTCTATATTCGTTTGCATTTGGTTTGCATAAATTAGCATGCTACAAAGTCCTGGACTCTGAGTCAAAGCAAGCCAGGGAATTAATGCAAAAAGGCTCAAGCTTCTGTGCCCCTGGGAAATGGCAGAGGAAGACAGCTTCAGCCTCAGAGCACACAGCACTGAGTTGTAAGAAACAGGTCTCATCATCCCCTTGGCCAGCAGATTTTCACCCTGGGCCCACTAAGAAGCCTGCCAGGGGGTCCTCTGTTGTCTGGACCCTGAGGCTTCATCCTCAATGTGTTGGAGCCTAGGAGAGAGGATTAGAGTTATGCGGTAGGTGTGGGAGTTGTGTTTGATGGGCTAGGAGTTGGGTGAGGAGGGATCCTCAGTTTTGGGTAAAGGCAAAAAGGCAAGGAAGCCAGGAAAAAGCAAGGAGTTGGAATAAAGACAGAGTGTGGGAGAAAGAGAGTGAGCTGGGTACAGGGGTGGGAGCAGATGTAGAAGGAGGAGGACAGAGAATCTGACTCAGGATTGAGACAGCCCGTGGGAAGTGGATCCCTAGCGTAGGAACAGGAGAGAGCCAGAGAGGAGAGGTAAGAGGGGGCAAGATTCGGGGGTTAAGTAGAGGCAAGCCGGCAGGCAAGCACTGCATGGCTAGTTGAGAATGGAAAGGGGACGTGGTGATCTAGGAAGTTTCTGTTTAAAGGCAGAGAGTGTATGGTCAGGCAGGGGCTGTATCTATTTTCTTGTTTGTTTATTCTGTTGTTTGTTTGTTTGTTTGTTTTGAGACAGAGTTTCCCAACGGTGCAGTCTCTACTCACCGCAACCTCTGCCTCCCGGGTTCAAGCAATTCTCCTGCCTCATTCTCTTGGGTAGCTGGGATTACAAGCATGCGCCACCACTCCCAGCTAATTTTGTATTTTTAGTAGAGATGGGGTTTCTCCATGTTGGTCAGGCTGGTCTCGAACTCCTGACCTCAGGTGATCCGCCCAGCTCAGCTTCCCAAAGTCCTGGGATTCCAGGCATAAGCCACTGCGCCTGGCCTGTTTCTATTTTCTTTTGCCAGGCAGGTTATGTTATACTGGGGTTTCTTGCTGAGGTCTGTCCTGGGACTGTCTGAGGTGTCACAAAGAGCCCACAGGTACAGACGAGAAATTTGAAAGTGAATCCAGACGCAGCAGATGACAGCAAGATGGGACTCCAAGTTCTCTTTCTAGAAATTACAAGCTGCTCCGCTACCCACACATGTAGCTCATTCTCCCTGTGGCCAAGACACTCCTGTGCCTGAGGGAAAGGCAATGCCTGCGGCAGAAACGGAGCGGTCCCCCAGCCAGGGGAGAGAGTGGCACCTAGTATGGTACCCAATGCTCTAAGGCATGGAGCTGATTGACTGCTGACTGTAGACCAGCCACTCACCACAGTGTAGGTTGGAAGCCTTCTAAGGCCGTGCGTTCTGCAGAGTCAGCCCATGATGGGGCCAGGAGTGTGGGCTCCAGTGTCACCCCCTTGGGATTTAATCCTGGCTGCACCTCTGGGGGCCTTGGGTAAGTTCTTGTAACTCCTCTATGCCTCAGTTTCCTCATCTGTATGGGAACAATAATGCCTACTTCATAGAGTTGTGGGGAAAGAACTAAGCACAATAATCCCTGTAGAGCTCTTAGAAGAGTGGCTGGCAGAGAGGAAGCACTCAGTAGAGGCTGTGATGACACACGGCAGCCCTGATAAGATGCAATAGAAAGATTGCAGAGCTTGGAGAGAAACACCGGATGGGCCCCCAGTTGCTTGGCTCCGTGCCCGATGTGGCAGCTGCTCTTACAATTTCAACTTCAGTTGCTGCAGCCACGGCAGCACACTGTGTGGATGAGGGCCAGGTTCAGGCTCTGGCCAACCACAGGTTGGGAAATGACACTGTTAGCTGACGATGTATCATCTGGTTTAATGATGTTTCTTCCTGTTTTAAGTTTTCCTTTCCTTTTTTAGGAGAGTATAAGGGAAAGAAATAGTCCCTTCCTTTCTTTGGAGAGAAGGAATCCACAAGCTGGAAGGAGGGACCCTGGCACGAAGAAAGGCACAGGCCCCTCCATAACTTGTTTCTACCACTCCCCTTTGAGGGCCCCTGGGGAAGGTTGGTTAGTCTTGAATCTGTGCCCAGGAGAAACCAAAAATCCTTAGTGGGGTTTCTCCCTGTCCTAGGCCTCCTGTCAGAGCTAGCGGAGATCTGCTGGAAGGAGGCCGGGAGGAGGGGATGTACGGATGCCATCATGCCTGGATGGAGGACCAGAAGGTCTTTATAACAAGTATTTGTGGAGCTCCTAATATGTGCCAAACTGTGGTAGACCTGGATACCCAGAAACACGGCCACTCCCCTAAAGGAGGTTGCAGGCTATACCAATTAAAATAATTATCTCAGTCCCTTCTTATCAACAGAGTCGTCCATGGAGACTATTTCTCCCCCTGCCCCAGGCACACAGAAGCCTTGAGGCTTTCATTGTGGCCCCACGGTGACAGCACACCCAGGTGGCACTCTCAGCTTATCACTGATTTGCAGAGCTGCTGTCTTGCAGCTAAAAGCAATGTGCTGGTGGATTTTTAAAAAGAAGTTCTGAGAGGCTTCTTAGAAGGTCTTTCTCCACATCACTAACTATTCGGATTCCGGAGCACGGTGCCAAGCCCCTCCATTTACTGCAGCCTTGCCCTTCCTCTCAAGATCCAGCCGCTAATGCTATGGGATGGCTGGTGGCCCCACTTGGGCTCCCCCAACCCCCACCTCGACCCCTAGCTTCCGCCTGTTTGGAGCTGTTATCAGAGGAAACAGACTTGAACATGACGGAGTTGCTGTCTCTTGGGCCTGACCAGAGAGTTGTGTTTTCTTGGCCTATATCACCTCAGATTTATCCTCGGCCTGACCGCAGTCATTATCAGCTAAATTCACCATCTCTAGATGCCCAGAAGATTTCAAAAGTGGACTATAGGCTGCCAGTTGGTGTTAGAGTTCAGAGAATCCCTGGACTTCAGCACTAGAAAGGAGCAGCTGCTATGTCGGGGGTGTCAGGGGCTGGATGCAGGGGCTGTTGCACTGATCCCAGCTTGCTCCATTCACAAGCCCCTCATCCATCTCTGAAGACTGGGACCAAAGCCAGGGCTGGGGCAGGCCTCTCTGGGCACAGGGGCCTGTTAGCATTGGTTTCATTCCTTCACCAAGAGGCCTAAAGACATTGGAATGATGAGGCAATTAATGTGAAACAGAAACAAGTGGCTTTAGTTCCAGGCATTTGAAACTGAAAGGAAGCTGTTGACATTCTTTGAGACCCACTCTAGGCTATGATTTTTGCTGTGCTAGCCAGAACTCTGCTACTTACTTGAAGTAGGACCTTGGGAAAGTCCCTTCTCTAGGTCTCAATTTCCTCATATGTAAAAGTGCATCTGGGATTAGTCAAGACCCTTCCAAGCCTGACATGCTATGGTCTAAGTGTCCCAGTAATCTCTCTGTCACCCAGGGATCAAAGATTTACAGATGTGTAGGAGAGATGGGGAGGAACACACTAAGATATGTCCTTGTGAGTTTAGTTAACTAAAAGACTGGGGGAAAGAAAGGGAAGTAAGAAAATAAAGTGAAAAGGTGGAAGAAGGCAGAGTGTAAAAGAGGGAGATAAGGAAAGTACAAAAGATAGAGATGTCTGCTGCAATTTCTCAGTACTCTTCAGATACATCCTGGCCAGGTTTACTTTCTTAGGGGCAGGGTAGATTGTGAGGGTGTGGAAAATGGTATTTTTTCAAAGAGAGTCACAATAGTATTGCCATCTCACATGCTGTTATACAATGTGATCTTGCCATTTCTCTACCAAGATAAATGCAGTCTAGTTTCTCTCCCTTTAAATCTGAGCTGGCCGTAAGACTTGCATGAACAATAAAATGTGGTGGAAGTTATTCCAAGTGACTTCTGAGGCTTGGTCAGAAGCAGCTTTCCCTTAGTTACTTTGAGACATTTGTTCTGAGGGAAGCCAATCTGACTACCTGAGGCCATTGTGCTGGAGAAGCCACACATTGGCATTCCTGTTGACAATCCTAGCTGAACCCTGCCTTCTAATCATTTCCCTCAAGGCTTATCAAATAAGTGAATGAAGCTATCTTGGACTCTCCAGACCAGCCCATGCTGCAGCTAAGTATTACTGATCAATTTCACTTTATACCACAGGGAGCGGAAGAATCACCTAGCTGAGCCCTACCCAAATTCCTGCTGTGTTTGTGCCTAGATTTTTTTTATAAAACAAAACACACTGGAACAGGATGGCAGGAGATTTTTTTGTTTTTGTTTTTTAAACGCTTGTTTCAAACAGCAATGAAAAATCCTTAAAAATGTATAAATAAGACTTCAAGATTTTAGAGGTGTGAAATTTCAAAAGAAATCTGGAGGCTGGGCGTGGTGGCTCACGCCTGTAATCCCAGCACTTTGGGAGGCTGAGGCAGGTGGATCACAAGGTCAGGAGATCGAGACCATCCTGGCTAACACAGTGAAACCCCGTCTCTACTAAAAAATACAAAAAATTAACTGGGCGTGGTGGCAGGCGCCTATAGTCCCAGGTACTCAGGAGGCTGAGGCAGGAGAATGGCATGAACCTGGGAGGTGGAGCTTGCAGTGAGCCAAGATCGTGCCACTGCACTCCAGCCTGGGTGACAGAGTAAGATTCCGTCTCAAAAAAAAAAAAAAAAGAAATCTGGAAGCCAACTTTCAATTTGCCCATTAAGGACTTTAGTACAAAACTACCATCTTCTATAGGTCATTATATCGTTTTTGTTTTTGAGACAGAGTCTCACTCTGCCACACACATTGCAGTGCAGTGGCGCAGTCTTGGTTCACTGCACCCTCCCTGTCCCAGGCTCAAATCGTCCTCCCACCTCAGCCTTCCAAGTAGCCAGGAATACAGGTATGCACTACCATGCCCAACTAATTTTTAATTTTTTTTTAGTAGAGATGAGGTCTCAATGAAGCAGTGTTGTTGCCTGGGGTAAATACCCGGGTTCATCATCTCGAGCCAAGAAGATTAAGGACATGAACACACATGAAGAGTAAGTTTAGGAGCAGAGGTTTAATAGGCAAAAGAAAGAGAAAGGAGAACAGCTCTCTCCCTTGCAAAAGAGAGGGGCTCCCAAAGGGGAAAACCCAGCCTGCGGTGGACTACACCCGATTTTATAGGCAAGCTTGAGAAGGCAGTGTCTGATTTATGTAGGGTTCACAGATTGGTTTGACCAGTATGATGTTTACATAGTATTCACGGAAGGCTGCATGCCCCACCCTAATCTTATTATGTAAATGGAGTCTTTGCCTGGCTGGCGCCATATTGTCTTCTCCTTACTGTACATGTGGTTTGACAAAGGGAAGGGAAGATGAAGCTGCCATTTTGAACATGCCTAGTCCCAGGTAGCCTTTTCCTGTTGGCACAACTGCTGGCATTCACCTGTACAAGCTTCCAGCTTGCTTACCTATGTCTGCAGCTCGATTTTACAGGCTGCTCTTTGTAGAAAAAAAAACAAAAAACTATTTTGAGACTGCTTTTCATGAAAAGAAAAACCTTACCAAGGACTCCCAGACCCTCACTATCTGCCTAAGTAATTTCTTCTTAACTCCTGTATCATTACTATATTGCCCAGGCTGGTCTCAAATTCCTGGGCTCAAGTGATCCTCCCACCTTAGCCTCCCAAAGTGCTAGGATTACAGGCATGAGCCACTGTGCCCAGCCATGTTGTATTTTTTAAAGTACAGTTTATCATGAAAAAGGGAGAAAAGGTACTACATCCAACCAGAATGGCTAAAATGAAAGAGATAAACACTATCAAATTTTGACAAAGATATGAAACAACCAGAACTCTCATATATGCCTGGTGGCAGTGTAAAATGGCATAGCCACTTTAGGAAATAGCTTGGTAGTATCCACTAAAGCTGAAAATATGCATATATTCAATTGTATTCTTAAGTATATATCCTACAAAAATTTATGAGCGTTTTAACCAAAAGATCTGTGTACAAATGTCCATAGCAGTAATCTTTTCTTTTTTTTTTTTTTTTTTTTTTTTTTTTGCTCCAGTCAAGGGAGAAGCAGTGATGTTTTAGTATCCAGAAAGTGGAAATAACCCAAATGCCCATCAACAGCAGAATGAAATTGTACTATATTCACACCATGGAATATTGTATAGCAAAGAGAATGAATGAACTATTAACAGAAAAGACATGGACAAATCTCATAAACATGATGCTGAAAGAAACCACAGTCAAAAAAGTACATTATTTTGTGATTCCATTTATATATAGTGGGAAAAGGAAGCAACATTAATTTATGGTGTTAGAAGTTAGGATAGTGGTTACCCTTAGGGGTAGTGACTGAAAGAGAACATGAGAGGGGTATTGGGGGTACCGTGATGTTTTGGTTCTTCATCTGGGTGCTAGTTGCATGGGGTTGCTCACTTTATGAAATACCATTGAGTGGTATGCTTTTGACCTGTGCACTGCTCTGCATGTGTGATATACTTCAAAATGAAACATTAAGATACAGGAGGAAGGACATAGTCTCAAAGCAAAGGACAGTTTTTTTGTTGTTGTTTGTTTGTTTGTTTTATTTTGTTTTGAGACAGAGTCTTGCTCTGTTGCCCAGGCTGGAGTGCAGTGGCGGGATCTCGGCTCACTGCAACCTCTGCCTCCCAAATTCAAGCAATTCTCCTGCCTCAGCCTCCCGAGTAGCTGGGATTACAGGCGTGCACCACCAGACCGGCTAATTTTTGTATTTTCAGTAGAGACAGGGTTTCACCATGTTGGCCAGGCTGGTCTTGAACTCCTGACCTCAGGTGATCTGCCTGCCTCAGCCTCCCAAAGTTCTGGGATTACAGATGTGAGCCACCATGCCCAGCCAGAACAAGTCTTTAAAAACTAAATTTAACTTTATGAACAGTTTTACGAAAAATGTACTATATTTGTCCACATTTTCCTCATCTCTCCTTGAAGCAGTGTAAATTGCTTTAAGACAGGGTTCTGGGGCTATGCCAATGTCAGTGGGAAAAGAAAACAGGGGTGACAAGACTGGCATCAACTGATGCTGTGAGGAACAGGCCAGCTCTTTAAGGAAGGTGCCTCTCATCTGCTCCTGGCTTCTGTGCTCATAGTTCACACTCACGGTGTTGTGTGCATGTCTAGGAAGATGCTTCCCAACCTTTTGCAGACCATGGCATACGCAGAAAATGACAACATCGGAATGGCACACTGGCATACCAGTTGGGGATCCTTGCAGTCAATGCTGACTGGACTCATCCTTCAGCCGCCCCCAAGAAGAGAGAGATCAATACCTTGGCACATCTGTGGGAAAGCTCCCATTAGAGAGTGTGGGGAAGACACAGGCCTCCACAACACATTTCAGGTTCTCTAAACTGGCAAAGGGGAAGAGTCTGGGCTTCCTTTGCCCTTTTGTTCTCAAAGAGCCCAGCTGTGCACACCCCTCACCCCTGCACTATAGCTCCCATTTGGGTAGTGAAAAATCACAGGACTCAGGGGAGTTATGCAGCATTCGGGAATGGAGACCTGGAAAGCCACACACTCCTCCTTGCTTTCCTGTGAGCCTCTCTTCTTGCTGTCCCCTTTACAACCAACAGTCCCTGCAGGGGGAAGACACTCTGCTTTAGTCAGTTCCACCTCCCTTCCAGATCTCATCCTCCTTTCAGCCTAATTTTCCTCACACTGTCATGCTCCTTCCCACTGCTCGCCCCCCACCCCCTACTCTCCTCCAGCACATCACACATTGCGCCTGGGCACACTGAGCTTGTCTGCCATCTATGAAGAGGCCCATGTCACCCAAGCCCTTCTCTTTCCCTGTCATGCCATAGCCTCTTCCAGGAGCGCTCAGCCTGCTGTTTCTGCTCAGACCTCCCCTCCTCTGCAAAGCCTCCTTCTGCGTGCTGCCCGAGAGCCATCCCCCACTTGGGTTTGTGTTACTGCTGTGTATGGCAGCATCTTCACTGTGCCTGATTTCCCGTCTTGGCCCATCGTAGGTGCTCAACAATTGTTTCTCAAATGACCAGCGCCTGCAGAGGGACCCTGACATGAACTCCACCCCACCCCGACTCTTGGCAGTTACTCACTGTCCCCTTGAGTCGGGATCCCAGCCCCTCAGGGGACCTGTCTTGCAGCCATTCCACGCTCTGTCACCCCACTGCCAGGAGACTAGAGCCACACTGCCTGGATGACGCTCATCTTTACCAGCTCGCAGCTCTGCCAGCTGCCTGCTCAGGGGTGGCCGCCAGCTGAGGGATTGAGCTGATTATAGGTGAATCAGCACCAGGCTGATTGTGGTGTGAAAAAGGGGAAGGGTGACTGTGTCTTAGCCTCAATCCTGGCTCCCCTCCTTCCAGCCCTGACCTGCAGTAACAGCACAGGGCCACCAGAGGCTCTATTGGGCGACTCATGCCCCGCGGAGAAAGGCCCAGTAGGAGAGCATCTGACCCAGTTCCCAGCAGATGAGAAAGGAAGAAGAGTTCAGGAGGCTTCTACTCTCAGAGGTCTCCAGCACTGAAACCCCGCAGCCGCACCTGGCTGCCTTATCCTTGTGTTTTGCCCCTCATGGGTCTAGAAGCTGTTGTGTTACACCTTAACATCTTCCTCCTTGCTTGCCATGAGCCCCTCTGCTTGCAGCCCCCTTTACAGAACAACAGTCATGGTAGAGGGAAGATGTCTCCACTTTTGTCAGTTCTGCCTCCTTTAGGAGAGTGTCAGGCCTAACCCATGTGTGCTCTGTCTTTCAGGGCATGGAAAAGACTATTGTCCTGTTTCGTCTTTTCAACACCTCTTGACTCTCTCCCCCTGGTTTCCTAACAGCCAGCTAGGTTCAGGGCCTCCCATCTCTGGCCAGGATTAGTGCAATGGCTTTCTGAAGGGTCCCAGGCTCCAGGGAGCCCCTTGCCCATCAAGTCTCTACCCTGGAGCCAGACAGCCCTTACTTCCATCAGACATCAGCCTCCAGTGGCTCCGAAAGGCCAGGCATCCACACAGCACCCCACGGCCCCAAGAACTGGCTGCTTGATTTTCCTGCCCTGTGTCCCTCCTCTCCTTGGCCCTCTACCCAGCAATCACCCCAAAACACTGTGATGTTTCAAGCCTTTGTACTTTGCACACATTCTTCTCCATGGCCTAATTCCCTCTCTCCACCCCTCACTCCACACCTCCTCCACCTTTACCCTTTCTCCCCATTCTTTCTTCACCGGGCACAGCCCTACTTATCCTTCAAAACTGCCACTTCCTCTGCGAAGCCTTTCCTGACCCGTGTCCCAGAATCCCTCCTCTGAACAAATCCTGTTCCCTAAACATGCATCTCTCATTGTATCTGTCACTCAAGGGTTGCAATAATTACACACACGCCTGTCCTTTGTCCTCCACTGGCTCTGTACCTCCATGTGGGACCCATGGCCAGCACACATTGGTGGTGCCCGAAAGCTGTTGCACTGGAGTTGTTCCTTCTGCCCCATCACCTCCCACCTTGAACAAGTCCTTTAGATGACCTGAACTCCAGTTTGTTGATCTGCAAAATGGAGAGATGTGAGAATCAGAAGAGAACACGTAATGAAAGGGTGTTATAAACTGCTAAGGGCTGTACAAATGTTTGTATTGCATTTTTGTCTTCCAGACTAGTGTTTACCTACACTTGCCTGTGTGGAAATCAGAAGATTAAAGGAATGCGATGTGATCTTTTTGTAATTTCCCCACTTGGGTCAAGGGAAAAGCTGGTCAAGAGTAAACCATTAATTCATCCCCCTGCAGGCCCCCCAATCTTCCCTAGAATTCTGGGTTAATGATTCTGAGGTTGTTTTCCTCACAGAGCCAATTCATATCTAATCTTTGGCATGTTCCCCCCTTTATTAAGAATAACTTGACTCACCCCATTAATTCCTCATCCTGGGGTCACGAGCCTTGTTTTGCAGAAGGAAATGGTGGCTGTGTGTATGTCTTGGGCCTTCTTTCTTTCTCAAACCCCTTTCTTTCATGGATTCATGCCTACAATTCCCTCTGTGGACAGAAGAGACCTCTCCTTACCTGCATAATGAAATGTGTGACTTTTCTCAAAAGTAGCTTTAGGAATTAACTGTGGAGGTCCAAGTAGCAAGGATGCTGTGACCTAACTCGTTACCCCCTCACGTGTGGTTTGGAATCCCAGCAGAAAAAATTTCCTGAAGATCTGGTACGGAGAAACCATTCTGGGCCTGGCTTTTAAATGTTTTATTAGCAGCTGGGCGAGGACTGGGCTGCAAAGAGATGCAGCCCCCGTCAGAAGCGATCCCTGTTGGGGAGCAAGGCCTGGAATTCCAGGAGGGAGGTCTGTTTATAGCTGAGGCAGAGGCTGGGGAGCGAAGCCTGGGAGCCAGACATGGCTTAAGGGTGGTCTGGACACTCTTGAGATAAGGCCAACTAAGGACTATGAGCTCATTGAAGTTCCAAAGCCAACTCACAGCAGCTCACCACCAGACATGTCCCCTGCCCCCACATTCCCTCCTCTCAATCCAGGAATTTTGGTGCTCATCTCTATAAAGTTTTAGACCATGGTGGTAGGAACCTGGTAAGTCTCAGGTTCTTGCATTGCCCGATTCTCCTTGGATTTGCTGGGTTTGCCTCCTTCCCATGTCTCAGACAGGGCTTTGCATAAAGAAGTGGGCTGGTAGATCTGCAAAGGTCCCTCTGTGTGACTGGAGCAAGTTACCCTCTTGAGCCTCAGTGTCCTCTTCTGTAAAATAGGGATATCATTCTTTCTTTCCCAAGGCTTTTGGTAATAATGTCATTCTCATGTGATTCTTAACAAAATGGGCCTTTCAGACTTAGATCACTTTTGTGCATGCATAAAAATGAAAGCATTGAGGAGAAGGAATTGGTGAATATATGTCTGGAGCAATAACTTCATCAGAACTGCCACGGTGGTTGTAGGACCATTCTGATTCCAGAGGTATTAAAATGCAAAACACAATGTTGAAATGCAAAACCCAACAAAATAATAAACAGCCTTGTACCTACCGCCTCCCTTAAGAACTAAAACAATTCCCAACACCACTGAAAGACTGTGTTCACCTCCTTGATCCAATCTCTTGCCTTTCCACCCCAGAGAAAACCACTGTCCTGAATTTTTTCCCACTCCCTTGGTTTTGTTTTACCAAACATGTATCCAATATGTAACATATTATTTGTATTTGATCTTGTTTTTGAATTGTCCTGTAGGTAGAATTATATCTTATTCTGCAATTTGCTTTTTAAAGTTTTTGAAAGAGCAAAACTTATCTATGCTAATACGCTAATGTGTGTAGCTGCCATTTATTTGTCACTGCATATACCCCTCTCAATTCTGTTGATGGAAATTTAGGCAGTTTCCAGTATTATTTTGCTACAAACATTCTCATGGCTGTCTCCTGCAACATGTGTGTTTCTTGGGAGTATACTTAGGGGTGGAATTGCTAAGTCTAGACAATGCTCCTCCCTGTTCTGGTTGCCAACACATGCTGCTGCTCCCTTACTCCCTCCTATGAATAGTGCAAGGGGGTGAGAGTTCTGTTCTTGCTTCGTCTTTGGATTTTCCAGGGTTGGGAGGGGGCAAGTTTATAAAAAGGATGGGGAGATGGTGGAGGTAGAGCTTCAAGCTCCCAGCCTGACTTTCAGCCATAGTCCTGGCGAACCAAAGCCAGGAAGGGGTTGAGGAAAGCTGGAGCACTCATCTGGGCTCTGCTGAGCATGGGTGTGAGGTGGGGCTACCCTTGACTGGATCCTGGGGTCTCAGGCTGCAGCACAGTTGACATCACAGAATCCACTGTGAGGTCACTGCTGGGCTGTGGGACACAAAAATTCAGCCAGCAAGCCACTTTCAGATGTATGATTCTTTATTTAAACGGCAGTAAAGAACGCTGGAATAGGCTTTCCAGGGACACTCCCATGAGCTCTGGGCTCCTTTGCAGCTTCCAGCTCTGGGTCTTATTTAATGGGCTTCAAAGGTCACTGTCTCCATGATGTCCGGTGTCATAGAACCAACCGTCTCCAGCCCCTGGCCACCCTCTGCTGTCTCGGCGATGGCCACGTTGGTGCTCCTCTCCGCCATCTTAGCCATGACGTTCACATCTCTGCCATGTGGTGTGCCCACTACTTTTGTAGTAAGGTTGGCTCTGACGTTCCTCAGGAAAGAGCTGACCCTGCCAAGTCCCTTGCTGGAACCGGAACTGGTGGTCCATAAGCTCCTCCCAGATTTGTGAGAGGTCCTGGACTCCTTTGAGATGGGCGTGTGGCTGACACCTTTATGCGAGTCCCTGTGCCTGCTGCTCCCCGGGTTGCCACAGCCTTTCTCCTTTTTGTCATCTCTATTGGCTCTGTGGCTGAATGAGGACCTGCTGGAGGACTTTTGGGCAATCTTGTCTCCCCTTGTTTTGTGGCGGCTTTCACCTGTCCTGCGGCGATGGGAACTCCTTCCGAGAGCCCTGTCCTTTTCCCTTCTTTCCCTCCCCTCCTTGCAGCCTTCAGCGCTGGCCTGGGTTCGCTCCCTTCCATGCTGTCCACTCAGGCTGCTCTTGCTCTGCCGGGTGGAGACGGGAGGTCCCGCTGCTGCATCCATGTCTGCTTCTGCAGCTGTCCTGCTGGTCAGTACTACTCCTGCAATGGCCAGGCTCACACTGCCCTCTCGGGAAAGGCTCATGGATGCGCTGGAAACATGCTCTGAGGACTTGCCTGCAGCCCCTGCCACAGCCACCTTCGTGCTGTTTGGAGCCATGCTGGCAGTGCCTGCAAGGGCCATGTTGCCTTTGTTTCCTCCTGCACCGATGGTGGCCGCCCCAGCTATGGCTGCGCTCACCTGTCCAGGGGCAGAATTGGCTGCTGCCACACTCAAGGCACCTGCTACGGTGCCTGTTGCTGCCCCTGCAGCTGCCCCTGCTGCTGCTGCCTCTTTAATCCCCCCTGTTGCTGGCTCCTCAGCAAGTTCTGTAGATGTTTTGGGGATGGATGCATTGAGCACATTAGTGGGTTTGTTAAAGTCATTTTGGAGTCCCTCCCCTCCAGCATAAGCAGCAGAGGTGGCCCCACACACCTCAGAGACCATGTGGAGGCTTTGGATGCTGACCTGGTCCTGATCCCCCTTTCCTTGAAGGTTCACGGCTCCCAGGCTCCTCCTGTCTTCCTGAAACACAGGCATCCACATCATGTCTTCAGCTGGAATGCCACAGGTACTGCTGTTACTCTCCATGGGTGGCCGCAAGAGGTAAATTAGTTTTTCCCAATAGGCAAAGAGGTCATCCCGTGTGTCAAGAGCGGGACACAATTGCAGATAGCAAGATCTGCCAGTGGCGAACTTCAGGCGCAGCTGTTGTTTCTCATGGTCTTGAACAGAGATCCGTACAAACCTCAGGGGCAGAAGCCTGGTGAGCTCTAAGTTCTTTGCTGCCTTGCGTTTTTTTCTCTTGGTGGCCTGGCCATGTCCAGCATACTCTTCGCAGCCGGTGGCCGGTCGTGCCAGTAGCATGACATCTGGGAGTGGGAGGATGGGGCTGGTACGTGCAATGCCCATGGTCACCATACGGACACGGTTGTGCACATCAATCACTTCTCCCCTTTTGGTGATCTGGATAAAGTCGCTCTCAAATATCGGTGCATACTTGAATATATCGTACTCCCCCTTGTACAGTTGTCGCTGCAGTTTCCCCATGGTGGTGTTGAACATGCTCATGCTGGAGCCACTCTGGGCCGTATAATACGGCAGCAGAAAATCAGCATTCATGGTTGTCTTTCAGCACAACGGCAGCACTGGTGAGGCAGGTCTCTGGGTCTTCCTTGGCCTCGGTGGCAGATGAGGGACCAGTGGTGCTCCTGGGTCACAAAGATGTCTCTGCAGCTGGTCTCTCAATCCCACCCCACCCCACAGGCCCCCACTGTTGCCTCAGAGCCTCCCAGAGGCCGGGGTGGGGGTGGGAGCACGGATGATTGCTGTGGGGGGTGCTGTAGGGTGCCTGGACTCCAGACTCTTCCAAGACGTAGAGATGCAGGGTGGGCTCCAGAGAGGTTTTCTTCTGGACCTAACCCCCTGACCTCCACCTCTGATTTTTTTAATTACAGTTTGTAGTCTCTCTCCCTGAGAGAGACTACAAACTGTAGTCCTAGTGACAGGAAGTGACGACCCTCTCTGCCTAAACCCCCTGTGCAGCCATATTTATCTTCTGCTTCCCTTTGTGACCTGTTGCTGTCACATACCCCTTTGTTCTCATCCCCCAGGCCAGGGCCACAATGCCCTCACTAATACTCCATTGCCCCCATAGAGGACAGCCCCACCGTGCCAGGTACTCAAGTGGGTGCCAAAATAAAAATTTTTCAAATGAGAAAATGTGTGGTTGCTTCCCCTTCCTCACCCCAAATTCAAAAGATTCAGCAACTAGGCAGAGTCTACAGGAACGCAAGATGATGGGATAAATTTGAACCATTTGAGTACACGGTTTAAATTTTTTTTTAACCTAGAATTCGCAGTCTTGGTTCTTAGCCCACTCTTCCATAAAATCTCAGTTCATGCTGACAATGGAAATCTTTAGTAATAACCTCAACCTTTAATAATAACATGAGAGATTGCTTCTTCTAGGCGCCATACTATGTATCAAACTCCATTCCAGTTTGATACTATTGCAACGCTTCTCATCTTACAGGTAAAAAAAACCTGAAGTTGTGAAACATACCTGCATTTGTAGAACTCGTAGGCAGTGGAGGTATTATTTGAATACAGGTCTTGCTGCTTTTAAAATCTTCCTTCTGAACCACTACAGAACTTACAAAAAAAGCTTGGGCAAGCCAAATAAGTTGCATAATTAATTCTGTGTGTGTGTGTGTGTGTGTGTGTGTGTATGCATGCATGTTATGGAGAATCCAGGACAACCACTTCAGAAAGGGGCTGGGCTGAGTGGGGGATTAAATTATCCAAGGGGCCACCTCTATTTCTCCTCCATCATGTTTATACCAACATCCTGTGTCAGGGAGCCCAAATATTTTCTCAAGGCCCCCAGTGTTTGCCCCGTGCCTCTTCTTACCCCCTACCCTGTGAAATGCCGGGAGAAGAGGGTAGGATGGAAAGTGTGAGCTTACATTCCAGGAGCCTATCAAAGGCCCTCCTCTACTAACCTCTCTACTATGCAGAAGTACTTTGGAAGCCATTTACATCCATGGGGAACAGGTGCTACTATACCTCCTGCCTTGCCATGCCCACAGAGCGAGCCCAGGAATAAGTAATTTCCAAGCTGTTACCTGGAAGTCCTGAAAAGGAGCACCTGCTTCCAACTCTCTTTTCTCCCAGCTTGACATCAGGCCTGAAATCCTACCTTAGAGATTCAGTTCTTGAAGATAAAGGCTAGCTGTTTCTTAACATACACACACCTGTCTATCAACTGATGAATGGATAAACAAAAAGTATAGTATCCATACAACAGAATACTATTCAGCCATAAAGAGAAATAAGGTACTATTACATAATACGCTAGGCTGACACTTGAAAACATTATGCTAAGTGAAAGAAGCCAGCCGTATTGTGCGAAAGGCCACATATTGTATGATGCTATTTACATAAAATATCCAGCGCAGGCAAGTCCATAGAAACAGAAGACAGATTAGTGGTTGCCAGAGACTGGAAGGAAGGGGAATGAAGAGTGACTCCTTAATGGGTACAGGATTTCCTTTGGGGACAGTGAAAAAGTTCTGGAACTAGATAGTAATGGTTACACTGCATTGTGAATGTACTTAATGGCACTGAATTGTACACTTCAAAATAGTTACAATGGCAAATTTTTTGTATATCTTACCACGCACACACACACAAATGTATATACTCTTGTTTGAAATCATTGCTGTTGAAAACAAGCATAGGCTTCAGCTTTGGAAAGATCCACTGTGAGACCTCGAGCAAGTTACTGAGCTCTCCACTCCCTCATCTGTAAAATGGGGGTAGCAGTTGTTGTGAGGATTAAATGGGATAATACATGTGAAGTGTTTAGTGTATTGTCCTACGCAATAAATGTTAGCTTCTGTTAGCATTAGTCCTCAACAGTCCTTTTAACCTCAGTGTAAATTCCTCCCTGAAAGCAGTGTTTGATGAGACTGTGTTAAAATCTTCTGGAGTTAGAGCCACCATGAGAACACAGGATGCTCAGTGGGCAAATGGGACCTCCTTTCAGGCAGATTCTAATTGGAAACGCTGTTCACGCCACAAAGAAACAGTACATGAACCCAACCAGAGGTTACGGGACAGGGAAGAGAGGAGAAAGCTTGATATGGGTTGGAGTGTTGAGGGTTTATTCAAAGCCCATGGGGAGAAATTAGGATACAGATGGAAAATAGTATTTTAGTTAACAGAAAGTGGAAAGATTCCATTCCAGAACTCCTGTCCTGGGCCAGAACCCTTTAAAAGCTCTTGACTCTGAAACAGGTGTCAGGCCAGCTCTCAGGGAAAGCCAAAGGGGCAGGTGGAAGGCAAGAGAGAGGAGGGAGGGTGGCTTTCCACACCCTGGCAGTGTGACATCACCACTACCAACAGGAGACAGCTCAGTGCAGACACTGCCAAACCGGGTGCTTGATATTGGTGGTGGCCCCATCTAAGTTTATTCTCTCAGATCCCCCCACCTTCCCTTTCCTCTAAATGTGAAACAAAAGAAACTAAATGCCTTGATGGTAAATGCATAGTCATCATCCTTTTTAAAATTAAAGTATCAAAACATAAACTTGGCTACATAAAACAATTTTTAATGCATTTGTGATAGACCTTCATTTACACTTACCATACACATCAAGTTTTCTTGCCATAGCCACCATCCGCCCCCAACTTCCTTCCTCTCTAATCCATTGTTGTTCCTGGCAGCTTACAAATTGTCTTGCGTTTCATAATGGCTGGTGGCTGGTGCCTCTACCCATAACTAGAAGGTAAATGCAAGGGATGTTTTCCCCTCCACCAAGAAAAGGAACATAAATTATCCCCTGAAAGAAGTGCTGAATGGTATTAACATCAGATGGCTCTTGATGGATTAGGAAAGACCCCTGATGTGCAATTCAGAGAGTAAAATGAAGACACCTGTGTCTTAAGTGATCATTTAAAGGAAACATACATGAGGTCAAAGAAGTAGGCACAGAATTCATGTGTACGAATCTGACATTTAACGAAGACATTCTTCTCTGAAGAATGGCACCAGCGGCGAGTGGCCAGTTTTTATGTCTAGCCTGTGAATGTTATAGAGAAGCACAAAAAGCAAGGGGGCCTGGCTCTCTTGCAGGCCAAAGGAATCATACGCCCTGGAAATTCCAGGAAATTCAGTGGAATGTCTTTCTTTGAATTATCACACCCATGCTGTCTAAAATGGTTCTTTCTTCCTCCGGTACCCCTTCCCATTCTTTTCTGATATGTATTTGCAACAATGAGACACACGTTTAGACATGAAACAGATGTAACTCAAGTGAGTAACTCTCTGAGACGAGTTCTGTGGCAGAATGTTAGGGGTCAAAGGTTCAAGCTGAACAACAGGTGTATGTTTTAGGTGTTTGTACATTCAGAGAAAATAATTAAGGTATCTAGCAATTCAGTTGTACATCAAAATTCTAAACACCAAACTGTTGATCTAAAGGATATATTTGGTGCCATGTTTCAGGGTTTGTCAATGAAAAATTGAGCATCAGGTGCCCAAGACTGAGGAACAGGACTGAAAGCCAACTATCCCATCTAGTGATGCCCCAAAGAGCAAAGGATGACATCTGGAGAAGTTTAAAGCTAGGCACCCCCCATAATGGGGAGGGAAAGGCAGGGAATCGCTAGGTCTCAGCAACCGACAGATTTAAATGAACAGAAACCAGCACAACACATGTTTACCATGTCTTGGTTCCAATATTTATTATTCTGACAGGTTAGGAATACTAGGATAAATAAGTAATATTTTCTCTTACAGAAAATTGTAATGATACCATTGAGTACAATTAAACACTCTGAGAATTTCACAGAAACATCAGAATTTTAATAGACAGTAGCCAGCGTCCTTGTGGCCAGTGTGAGTGACTTCTCACAGCTGCAAACACCCTGGGCCAGATTTCTTAAAACAGCTACATGACAAAAACAATGCTATTGACATCCAATAATGCTAAAGCCTGGGTACCACCCAGGCTCCACTGACTGTGGTTTCCAAACATCTCTCCACTGACTGTGGTTTTCAACCACAAGGAAAGGAAAATGGAATATTCTTTGGCTCTTCCAGCCTAGACACAACTCCTGACCTAAGACATTGAGTGGAGAGTCCTAACCCTTTGGAAGTTGAACTTTCTGCTTTCTTCCTGTGACTTTGGAACTGAGTTTGCAACAGAGGACCTGCCATCATACTGCCCATGGATTTTGTGTTAACGCTGGGAGAATTCTGTCCTCCTCTTGCTGACAAGCTCTTCTGGCCACCTGAATATCTTGAGATACTGCACGTGGTGACAGCCCCGCCCCCCAAAACTCTTAGAAACCAGATCTGAGAAAAAGCATATAAAAGTCACATCAGTGTTGTGTGACACAAACATCGGAAGAGTACATTGCCTAGTTTTCTTGCACACACAATTTCTGGACATAACAGCATATTTGCTAGAAAGCACAACCCTGGCCGTTGCACAACTTCACTAAATGCTGTTCTCACTCCACATCCCCTACGAGTGACAATGGTAGCCACGGTGAAGGAGATGGCCCCATCCCTCCCACCCGAGGTACAGACACTGCTGCCTGAATCCTAACGGTGGGCATCCTGGTTTTTTGTAGAATCCAGATGAAAGGCGGGCAGGACACCAGCTGGGGGCCATCTGGAACATAAGAATGGCCAGTGTGTTAAGGCCTAAATCCTGGAGTTGAGGCAAAGATGCACTTGCCCTGGTCCAAGACCCACTCTGGGGCAGAATGGGAAGGGCCTGCTGAATCACTGCAGGCCCTCCCGCCTTGATGGTTCTCTGCTGCTGGGATTCTAGAGGTACACAGGAAGACAGCTCTCCAATGGCTTCAGGGTTTTGGGTATAAAATGAGGATTCAATGAGGACTCCCCAGTCGCCCCCATACCACGACTGCTTAGCTCTGCAATGTTCCTTCTTTTATCTGTTGGATAAAGAGGTTTCTCTCATCTTCTGGAGTCCTCCCATTCTGAGCCCGGACAATACACGTGGGCCGATGAAGGTTGAGCATGTATATCAAATGCTGCTTCTCGTTCTTGAGCTCCTCAATCTGAGCCTTCAGTTCAGCATTCACACTTTCCAGCTTCTCCGACTCCTGGGGGACAAGCAACAGAGGCATCAAGAAAGGAGCCAAGGGCCAGTGAGGAGGGGGTGGCCTGGGCTGCTGCCTGGATGCAGGGGTGTACCTGGGACACACCGGGGCTCATCAAGCTGCGAGAGGAAGATGGGAGATGGGAGAGCAGCACTGGGTTTAGGAAAATGCAGACCCTCTTCTTCAGAGAAACCCTGGTGATGCCACAGAGGCGGCCTGTGGCTCTGCTAATACTGAAGCTGCAGTTCAGATACCTCATTTGCATGAGTCAACAGCCCATATGCAGGTCTTCTGGACCCAAAAGGGCCTTGGGAGCTGGGGAGAAATCCAGACTTATGGTGGCTTAGTCGATTCTGAGTCACAGATCTCAATGAGAAGCTCATCTCCCCAGAAAAAATGTATATAGCAACACACAAAATTCCCTAATTTTCACTGATCCCCTGAAGCAATCAACAGAACTTTTGGGGATCTGTGGGACTTGGGCTAAGACTCTGTCATGGCCTGTCCACATTTGGAGGAGGGACACAGCCACTGGAAAGACTGCTGAGCACCACCGGCCACCCTGCTTGCCCACAAAAGCTATTTCCCCTAGTGTCTCTCAGGCGGGCCGGCTGAACGCAGCCAGGGGCTCAGCTTACTGGCTAAGCCAGGGAGAAGGGCTCTAGAGTTAGGAACCAGACAAGAATGCAAAGCAAGTGTAACCACTGCTTGTGGATTAAGGAAATAACTTGTTTGAAGAGATTAATTAAAGGCTTTTCATAGTGAGCCAAATGAGAGCTGGCAGCTTCCTTTTCTCAGGAAAACAGTCAAGTGAAGCCTCTTTAACTGGGCTGGCATGTCCTGCAGCCTGGAAGCTGATGGACATGTATGAACCGGCCGAGGCTGCTGGGAGTCAGGCATCAGACGAATTCACACACCTGTTTTTATACATCCACCGTCACATCCATTGTGTTAACTGCTTTGCCACCTCCTCATTCTGCAACTGGCATTTCTGCTACCAGCTACAAGGCCCTTCTTGGGAAACTATAACCAAGTAGGGGGTTTTCTAACTCTTCTTCTGATAGCCACATGAAGCTGGTGAAGACAGGCGTGAGCGAGAGGAAGGGTAAGGCTAGAAGGCACTCACTTTCTGCAGGCACTCCGTCTTCTCCTTCTTCTTGTTTCGGCACTTTGCAGCTGCAATCTTATTTCTTTCTCGTCGCCTCTTTTTCCTTTCATCTTCTTCAGGGGCTACCTGTAAAATCCAAAAGAAACACATTTAAAGGGCAGTAAGAAATGCCACCTACCTCAAATACACTGCCTTTTACTGCCAGCAAAAGCTGGCAGACAAGGGCAATGCTAGCGCTAAAAGACCCCGAAATACTAAAGCTCTAGACTTTTGTGTGAAAACCCCTACACACACACACACACACACGCACACACACACACGTGAGTGAACAACAAAAATCAAAGTTAAAATTATACCGGCAATATATTAGTAAATTAAAAGTTAGCCAATTTTAAAAATGCATTTGGATTTTGAGATGAGGATAATATGCAAATTGATAACTATTGGTATTAACTATAATCATTTAAAGCCGAAACAGATTCTGTCTGGTAAACATCTCCTTTCTTTGAGAACCAGGAATGATCTCAGGATCATTACCTAGCCACCCACTCCCGGCCTCTTCTTCAATTCAAGACCCAAGGGCAACCCCATTCACCTCTGACTTCACCTGGAGCATCAGAGCACCAGCTTCCCAAATTTGGGAGAAGCCCATGATGCTCCTGTAGAAAAGGCACCTAAGCCCATTCCCAACCAAAGCGGCATTAATCGGCCCATGCTGGGGTGCCACCTGCAAGTGGTGAACTAGGACAGTCTTTTAGGTCAGTCCCACTACTCCTTGCCCAAAGGCTGCAATCATGCCAGTTGAGTAAGCCTGAAACACTTCCACTTGCCACCATGAGGAAAAGGCCAATAAAATGGTGGAACCTCAGCTCTGACATCCTTAAGCCACTATGGCATCGCCAGAAGCCACCTCCCAGACTTCTCACCATGTTTATTATTCCAGGAGTCTTACCCAAGGTTGCCAAGCGTGGAACAGTGCAAGTGTGTCAGACAGAAGTGAACCTGGAGCAACACCTGGTCCCAAGGCTGTGAACATTGCTACAGGGAAGGGTGGGGCAGGCTGCCTGGTCCTTGCTCTACTGTCTGGGTGCTTGGGTCCTAGTAGTGATAAAAACAGGGACCACCACGCTCCAAGCTTCTTCAGAACAACTGGACACAGAAGGTGGCCTCATCCTGACTCATGGCTTTAAGTGCCATCTATATGCCGATAATTTCCAACTCTATTATCTCTAGCCCAGACTGTCCTCTGAACTCCAGACTCACATATCCAACTGCCTGCTTGACATCTCCACAGGGGTCTGCAGAATAGGACAGACCTCCTGCTCTTGCCACCACCCTAACCCCTATAATCCCAAATCTCAGCAGCAAATGGACGCTCCATTCTTACAGCTATGCTGGCCAGAAAACTCAGTCACCCTTGAGTCTTCCCTTTCTCTTACACCCCACATCCAATCTATCAGCAAATCAGCTTTACCTTCAAGTCAGATCCAAAGCCAACCACTTCTCAGCACCTGCACTGCTCCCTCCTGCTGCAGGCCCCCTGACTCACGTGGATTCCTGCCACGGCCTCCTTTCTGTGCACTCAGCTTCTGTCTTACCCCTACTGCCCATTCTCAACATGACAGCCAGGGTGATCATTTAAAAATATAAATCAAGGCTGGGCGTGGTGGCTCACACCTGTAATCCCAGCACTTTGGGAGGCCGAGGCGGGCGGATTACCTGAGGTCAGGAGTTCGAGACCAGCCTGGCCAACATGGAGAAACCCCGTCTCTACTAAAAAAATTCAAAAATTAGCCAGACGTGTGGCGGGCACCTGTAATCCCAGCTATTTGGAAGACTGAGGCATGAGAATCCCTTGAACCTGGGAGGCAGAGGTTGCAGTGAGCCAAGATCATGCCACTGCACTCCAGTCTGGGTGACAGAACAAGACTCTGTCTCAAAAAAAAAAGTGTGTGTGTGTATCTGTGTGTGTGTGTGTGTGTTGAATCTTGTTGCTTCTCTGCTCAAAAGCCTTCTGTGGTTTCCCACCTCACTTTGAGCCCAGGGCTGCATCTATACAATAATAATCTGTAAGACCCAATATGACCAGCCCCTATTTATCTCCCACCCCTATACTCTGCCCCACTGCACAGCCCACCAGGCACCAATACTTCCACCTCAGTGCCCTTAATTTCTTTTACCAGATACCCACGTGGCTTCTTCCCTCTCCTCTTTCCTTCTTCCTTTCCTTTTGACCTCTGCTCAAAAGTCACTATCAGTGAATCCTTACCTGACTTCCTAATTTAAAACAGCAACCCCGGCTGGGTGCAATGGCTCATCCCTGTGATCCCAGTGTTTTGGGAGGCTGAAGCAGGAGGATCGCTTGAGCCCAGGAGACTGAGGCTACAATGAGCCGTGATCACCCCACTGCACCCCAGCCTGGGTGATGGAGCAACACTGTCTCTAAAAGCAAAATGAGTCTTGCTCCATCACCCAGGCTGGAGTGCAGTGAGGTGATCACGGCTCATTGCAGCCTCAACCTCCTGGGCTCAAGCGGTCCTCCCACCTCAGCCTCGCAAGTAGATGAGACTATAGGCCATGTACCACCTTGCCCAGCTAATACTGTCATAGAGATTGGGTTTCATTGTGTTGCCCAGGCTGGTCTCAAACTCCTGGACTCAAGCGATAATCCCATCTTGGCCTCTCAAAGTGCTGGGATTATAAGCGTGGGCCACCATGCCTGGCCTGAAAAGTTTTTAAACCCAGCAACCCCATCCCTACCCGTTCTCTCTGCCCCGCTCCCTGCTTTTTTCTCCTTTGCACTCATCTCTTAACGTGTACTTACGTATGTTATGTACTTCTGTCTCCTCCCAGGAGAAGGTAAGCTCCCTGAGGGCAGTGGTTTTGTTTGTTTCACTCTCAACAACAGCCCCCTGCCTAGAACATGCCCAACACACAGTGGCTGCGAGCGAAACATGTGCCGAAAGAATGAATACCTGTGATAGAACCCACCTCGGCTTTTGTGATGGACACCCCGAGGGGTCTGTCGCTGACAGTGACTGATTCCAGCGCAGAGGACATCCGGTGGCAGAGGTGCTTGTTCTGGATGGCAAACCTCAGCTCTTCCTTGACAAAGGGCGTCAGGTTAGCAAAATCCTCAAACACCAGTGACCCAGGAGGGGACAGGCAGGGGACGATGGCAGAAGCACTCACTTCCGAGGCAGAGACCTGGCCTGGGTGTTGAAGCATCATTTTGCTGAAAGACACATTGAAACCCAAACTGTTTCAGGGGCTCTGGGGCATGGGATCAAGTCCCCCTCCCCCACCAGACCTCCAACACCAGAGCCCCACCCTCAGAGAAAAGTCCCATAAGCCCTTGGGTTTCTGTTTTGTTTTCATTTCATGCCATCCTCATCTTAAGTAAAGCAGGTTCTTAAAATACACATAGCTCAGTGACATGAACAAAATGCCTATTTGAAATTTATAAGGGATGATGTTTCAGGCTACTCTGAATTCACAAGATCTATGAGTTTTGGCTGGTGTGCCTATGTGCAAATGTGGCCACAAACAGTCCTGAAAGAGGAAGAACATTTTTTAAAAATCAGTGAGGCCATTTTAAAAATCATGAGTAATCTCATTTTCAGCTTCTTTTTCTTTCTCTCTCTCTCTCTTTTTTTTTTTTTGTATATTACTCAAAATAAAGTTTCTTTCACTTAAAAAAAAAAGCCTCTTTTTCAAAGAGGCTTGACGTCAAGCTGAAACTATCAGTGAGTGGAAGTAAAAGCAAAAAGTGGGGAATCCTTGAATTTAGCAAATACATCTCTGAAGCTTCTCCCCCGAAGTTGGGCCCAAGCAATGGGAATGAGAAAGGTAACTGTAGCCAGGTGCGTTTCTTCACCCCAGTCTTTGGCAGGGGATGGGGAGGTGGATTCTTAAGGTTAAGGTTGGCAAAGCAAAAGGTCTTAAAGAAAAGTGAGGCACTGTATTGTGGGGGAGTTGTTCAGGCCTGTGGTATAGGGATAGACTTAGGCTGGGTGTGGGGGCAGGGAACCCTGGGGCTGGCTCTGGCACTAAACAGCAGTGACTTGAGCTAGTAATTTCAGCTCTCTAGGACCCAGTCTGTGTCTGGTAAATGACTGACAGCTCCTCCAATGCAAGCATTGAGTCTCCACCATTGCTTTACCCAGAGCCTGGCCCAATGCCTGACTCGCCATGCCTCATTGGCCAACTGATAAATGAAGTGGGGATGGGGTCATCAAATCAAATGGCCCCCACGGTCCAAGGTTACCTTTCTCATTCCCATTGCTTGGGCCCAACTTCCGAGGGAGAAGCTTCAGTGATGTATTTGCTAAATTCATCTCCCTCTGTTATTCTATAGCTCGGTGAACCCAAAAGGATGACAAAAGGAAAATAAAGAGTAGAAATAGTGACAGTTCCATGGCCCCAATTTGGAAGAGTCCCCCATAAGTCTTGGCCTGCTGTGTACTCCCTCCAGTGGTGGCCATTTCCCCTCCTCCCTGCAGTTGGTTCCCAAGGGACAATGAGTATAGGGATGAGTGTAGGATGAGTGTGGTCTGGGCATTCCTCTCAACCGGGGATCTGTGGTCATTAGCACAGTCCAGACAGAGAAGAAGCCCTCTGGCAAGTCTCGAACATTTAAGGAGTGCCTCCTTCATACCAGAAACCTTAGGGGCACTATCTCATTTAATCCTCACGAGAACCCAGTGAGTTAAGATCTAGCTGCCTTTTATAGATGAGATAATTGAGGTTTAGACAAACTAAGTCATTTGCCCGAATTCACAGAATTAATATGGGGCAGCATCAGGATTTGGAATTAAGTTAGTTTGGCTCCAGGATTCATGCCCTTAATTTGTACATTGCAAAAAACAAACAAATATTATTCTACATTACAAAAACAAACAAGCATTATGTTATATTGCACAAACAAACAAAAAACCAGAGCAAATTTTCTCGGGGCAGGCCTTAAGGTAGGTGGGAGGCCTGGAAATGAAGTGATAGAGGGGAGGCTAAGTAAAGATTCCTCGGGATAAACTGAACTCTGTTTAATGAACTGCTAATCTTTATGTCACGGTGCATACCCAGGCTGCTTGCTAACTGCCTTCTGGGAGTGTGAGCAAGTGGGTCTCTTATCCACAAAATTCCCAGACTGAGGTCAGAAGATGAAGATTTGAAGCCCACTTACTCCATTATGTGTTATCATTGTACCTCCCCGTGGCTTTTTCTCCTCTGTTAAAGAGGGCTTGTAATAATCGCCCTATTTTCCCATAATATCCTATGAGGAATTGAGGAACTAATACATGAATATGCCCTGGAAAACATTCTTTGGCCAGGAGCTCCATGATTACTAGGCCTCCCAGAGATCTCTCCAGCCCAGGGCTGGCTCTCTGACAGAGGCTCTGTGGAGTCCAGGAAGGAGGGCAGCTGGTCACCCACTTTGATCTCAAAGGCTTCTGAATAGAATACCCTGACTTCAAACTCCCCCTGGAGATCTAACATACACCAATGGAGGCAAGACTTCCAGGCCAATGAAATCTGCCCTTGACTAGTCAAAGAAACCCAGGCTATGTATGTAATTCTTTTCCCAAAGCCCTGTGTCATGAGTCAGAACTGAAGTTCTTCTCTCAATTTAATCCTATAATCTTAGGATGCTGGGAGGATACTTGTCGCTGTCAGGCAATAAACTCTGAGAAACTAGCCTTCTAAAGCCAGAGGCTTAAGATTCTCCCATGCATTCATGTTTCCCTTCCCTTTCCAAGTTTATTAAAAACTCAGTGATTCGGGGATGACATTCAGAGCTGCCACTGGGCTGGTCTTTGTTTGGAGGCCTGGATGGCTCCCTTCTACACGGGGACTTTGAATTCCACTGCAGTAGAGTGTAGTTCCATTTTGCCATCCAACTAGGTTTATTAATGAGCTCTCAGGGCTTGGGGTCTGCTGTTTATGACTCCCGCCCCCTACCCTTCTTCTTATGTAAAGTCAGCAGTCCCAATGAAAGAAGCTGAAGAATGTCAGTGGTATGGAATGCTTTTATGAAAAGCATTGGGTGGGCTTCCTTGGGGACATAAATGGTTGTAAAAATGTTAAAAGCCTTTCAGAAAATAAAACAGATGTATCTGTCGAGATTTGGGTTTTCTCGGCACTAGGCTAAAGCTTAACTTCTCGGGATACTTTCTAGTTATTCCTTTACTCAGTCTCTCGAGGTATGATTCAGCCTAGACTACGGCTGTGTCCCCACAAGGAAATGAAGTTAAATCTTCACACAATTTTTCAGAAAGTTGAGATCCTCAAACATCCCGGTCATTGAAAAAAATTGTTTGGGGACCTCAGATCAGAGTTGACTTTCTATGCTGATCATAAAATTGTTCAGACTTGCTACCAAGAACTTGCATTTTGTTTCTGCTTGATTATTTCCAATCAGAAATCATGTTGTATCATTGGCAGTTTCATCATTTTCAAGAAAGTGAAAGTTTACTCATGTATTCCTTTAACTGGAAATTCAGCTCCCAGATTTTTATTTCCTAGTAGCTACAGCTACATTGAATTTTCACTTTTAATTTTCATCCTCTTTCCACTAAGCATTGCTTGCTAACCATCTTATGTTACTAGGAAGCCAGTACTGGCCTTTCACTAACTCTTCATATCTTGGTCTTCCTCCCAGACCTCTTGAAGAGGTGCAAAGCTGGGCATCAAGGGCCAGAGACAATGTTTCTAAGCCTATCAGTGCCACTCATAAGCTGAGCATCCACCAACAAATCACTTAGGCTTTCTGGGCCTCTCATTCTCTTCCTCTGTAATTTGAGATCAAAACTGCCTTCCCCAAAGGGCTGTTGAGAAGGACATATGAGATTTACATACACACCGGGTAGTCATTACTACTGTGACTCCATCTTCTCCATTTCAGGAAAAACTCATTCTGTTGTTATCAATTCAATAAAGCCCTGTTAGTGAGGAATTAACTGGAACCTTCAAGACATTCAGGTCAGTCAGAGCCTCTTTTGTACTCTCATTGACCCCAAGTTCTTCACAGACCAGGTAGGTTTCACCCCACTATTTGCTGATGCCAGCATTTCTGCATTACATATTTGAAAGAGAACCAATTCTCACATATAAACCATTTCTCCCTTGGAAAGCTTCTGAGGCATCTTGGCTATGTCCTTCCTCCTCCCCTGGCTGGGTAAACACTCGAAGCCACTGGCCCTGTCCCATGCCCAGCCAATTTTAAAAAGGAAGGAATCATGGACTCTATCTAATGGAAATCACACCCTCTCAATATTAGAATCATCTAGGTCAGATTCTCATTTCATAATGAGTACATTGGTCCAGGGAGGTAAAAATGACTTGCCTGAGGTCATAAAGCTGGTGAGTGGCCCAGCCCATGCCAAGCTGCTGAACACCCACCGACTGCTCATTTTGCTCCATCACCAATAGGTATCGACCGCCTCAAGGGATCAACCAACAAGGCAACCAGAGAACAGAGCCATTAGCCAGGTAGATAAGGGGTCAAGAGTCCTGGCACCTGGTACCAATCACAGAGGAGACTTTGACAGGACTGAGATAGGGAGGGGCTATCGAAGAAAACGGCCATGGAGAAAAAGGAATTCTATAATGGCTAAAGGGCAAGGAGGAAGAGAGAGAGAAAAAGAAGGCTCCCATCACTGCCACAGATGCTGGGTGCTGTATCTTATCCCCACTGCGGGCGTGGGGTGCTGCCTTCTTTGCTGTCTCTGAAACCATTCCGACAGTAACTGCAATCCTCACCCCATCCCATCTTTGCCCAGGATATCCTCAAAGCAGGAGCCTGTATGTTGTAGCATTATTCTACAACCAATGCTAACTGCAAAACAATGGGGACAGTAATACCAATTTTTTGCCTTCACTTTAAGTTACAGAGACAGAAACTTCGAACAGAAGATATGACTGTCACCTACAACGAAAGGGGTACACTGAGAGAACATCCAGATTTTCTGGCTCTCCTTTTCTTTCTGGGTTCATCAAGGATTTAGTAACTATTTTATTTGTAAGAAAGCATATGTGACCTATGCAATGAAATTAGGGAAAAGAAAATGTTTAGGAGGAAAGGAAGTAGATGAGAAATGAAAATGGGAGTGGGGGGAGCAGAGAAGGAGAACGAATCCAGTGGAAAGAAAGCTGGTGAGGGAAAAGATGCCCTGCAGAAAAGTCCCCTTTCCCCCACTGTCTGGACACTGGTGAATGACATTAGATAGAGACCCACCCCATTCAAGTCCCCTCACTGGCTCCTTTTCTCCCCACTACACCACTCCAAAATCTGAAAATCTCCAGACAGAAAGGACCTTAGTAGTTATCTGGTCCAACCACTGCATTGTGCCCTCCAACACGCAGAGGGGGCCGGTACTGCCCATGTGCCCTTATTTCCCGGCTCCGCATACTGAGGCCCAACGACATCGATTGCAGTGTAAGCGCTCAGAGTCCTGGCACTAGACCACAAAGCCATTCTCTCAAATATCTGCACAAGTGGCTCCACACCCTCGCTTCCCCGCCACGGTGGGTCTCCCGCGGACCCGCCGAAGGAAAAGCCAGAGTGAGAGTCCCAGGTGTGTGGGAGTCCCGGGCTCGGGGTCCGGACACCAGCCGTTGCCGGGAGCCCTCCCCGTCTTCCGCCCCGGGACAGCGCGACACCAGCGCTCGCCACTTCCAAGCTTATCCCAGCTAACTTTTTCTCGGGGTTGCCTTCACGGTCCTGCCGCCAGTGCTGCGGGGTACCCAGGGCGACCCCCAGCGGCCGCGCCCGGGACGCCTCCCGCCCTCTCGCCCCTTCCCCATTCATTCCTCTCGGCGCGTGGGGCAGCCCTCCCGCAAGCCTCCGGCCTTCGTGCCTCTCTGCGCCCCCCCCCCCCCACCCGGGAAGGATCGGCTCCCACAGTGCCGTGTCTCGAAGCGAGGGATGGAGCGGGACGGCGAGCGAGGCAGCCTCGGACACCCCAACGCACCCGCCCACCCACCTTACGCCCTCTCCCAGCCGGGCAAGCCAGCGCCGTCGGCGGAGAGAAGCGGCGCTCGAGGCTGGCGGCAGAGTGGACGCCCGACCTCCGTCACCAGGAACCTTTCGCGCCCCAAGTCAAAAGAGAAAGTTAGTTCTTTCGCTTTGCGGGAAACTTTTCGAAGCGCCGAGGAGCAGCGGTGGCTTAGAAGAAGTTTAAGCCAGAGTTATTTCCAAGCCGGAGGCTGGGGGCGCGGATCCGGGGTGGGTCAGGGGTCGGCGGACTGGTTACTTAGAGGGGCGCGAAGGGAATGAAGGCGAGCAGCCCTCGTCGCGCTCACTCCCTCGGCTTCCAGCGCTCACCTCCAGGCTCCGCTCGGGGCGGCCAGGGTCGGGACGGGGTCGGGCGGGCTGTTTGTCTGGCCGGCGGGCGAGCACCGAGGACTCACGGCCGGCGCGCGGGCTGAAGGGTGCGCTCGGGCGGCGGCGAGAGAAGAGAGCTGTGCAGTGCGCGCCTGGCTGCGTGCGACTGTGGCTTGGAGAGCGTTGCATCACCCCTTTTATAGCCCTCAGGCTGGCGGCGCGGTCGTTTACTCCGTGTTGCCAGTCCCAGGCTGACGTAATGCTATTAATAGCTTCCCGGGAGAACCGGCCGAACGGAGCGGAGGAAGGGGGGTGGAGGAGGGGCCAAGGCGGGGCCGAAGGCGGGTGGAGAGAGGGGGCACTGGTGATGCAAGTTCGGGGAGGAGCCAGCCCAGGCGCGTTCCCCCAGCCTCGCTCACTGAGACACACACCAGCCCGCCCTCTCTCTCCATATCAGGACCGGAGCCGCCCGGGATAGCCGCCAGATGTGCGTACTCGCTGCTGCGTGTTCCAGGCATGACCAATGGTGCCCAAGCCAGCGGCATGACTCCACCGCGCTGGCATCTGTCCCTCCGCTAGGTTGAAGAGCGGGGGGGGCGGGGAAGGTGGGGAGGCGGGTCCCGGCCCCAGCCCAGACTAGGTGAGGCTGGGAAGCGGGCACGACCTTTCTCTAAAATGCGTGGTCATTTTCTGGAGCTTCAGGAAAATACCCCCTCCCCCACTGGCCTCCTACTTCTCTAGCAGGGGCGGAGTAGGGGCAGAAGCGTTAGTCTGTGGTGTGGGGAAGGTGTCCAAAGTCACCCTTCGGTGTATCCACGCCGTTACCCGCCGGGTGTGACCTCTGCGGCGGGGACCGCGAGAAGCCCGCCGGTTAACACAAAAGCGGAGGGCAGCCCTCGGCTGGCACCGTGCGCCCGAGCCCGCAGCCCCGGACACTCCACATGGACGCACACGCAGGACAGCTCCGGGCTCCGAAACTAGGGCGAGTGGTAGGACCGTATCGGTTCGATTTTTTTTTTTTTACAATCACAAAGCGTTTGAAATTGACAAGAACATGTCAGTGAAACCAACAAGAGCGTGAAAAGATCGGAGTCCAGGAGGAATCAGAGGCAACCCGGTGGGAGGGTAGGAGGGGGCGGAAGCCAGCGGCCAGGAGGAGGGGGAAAGAGAAGGTGCTTTGGGGTCCGCGAACCTGCCCAGGCCTGGGGGTCGCCCCGCTCTCAGGCAATATTTAGGGAAAACCCATGTTCAGCTTTCACGTGTTCTTCTGCTCCCAGAGCCGATTGGACTGGGACCGGACGGCCCGGAATGGGGACGCAATGACCACAGGCGGAACCCGCAGCAGAAATCCCCTCTGCCCTCAAGCCAGGGTGGCGGGAAAGGCGGGGCCCCGTGGTCCGAGATTCGAGCTGAGACCTCAGCAGAACTGGGTTTGAACCTTAAAAACGATTTCCTGGTTCTTATTCCCCGACCCCAACAATTTCTGCTCAGAGAGCGGCAGAACCAAGGAACCTTCTTGACTGCCCGTGGATGACTATTTGTAGACACAAGTGTGGCCTGGGACTTTCGCACCTGCCTGGGAGGGAGACCTGCGCGGCCGCAGGGTGTGGGGGCACGGTGAAGGGCAGAAACACCTGCTCCTTTCCACCTGCCTCTGGGAGAGAGGCGGCCGAAGGTCACAGTTTGGTAATTTGGGGTAGAAACTAGAGGTGTCTGGAGCCTGGGTCTCACTTGAAGTCCCCAGTTCCCCCCACCGGGGTTCCTCGCCGCCAAGCCCGACCTCACTCAGACCACCCACCTCTCCACGGGCCTGGGAACACGCGGAGGGCGGCCTCGGAAGTCTTTGCGCCCCGGCGGACCCGGGAGCCCTGGAGTTCCACGCGGGATCCTCCGAGATCCTGCTCTGGACCTGAACCGATTTCCAGCGGCGTCGCGCGGGAAGTGCAGGGCGGGTGTTTTCGCTTTACTTTTCGCCCTGGTAACGGCTCTCCGGGCCCCACCCTCCGCTTCCACGCCCTCACCCCCGCGCGCCGCTCAGCACACCTCCACAACCCGCCCTCCCGCTGGAGTGCGCGCAGGTAAACCCCGGGCGTGTCGGAGCAGCCCGGCGGACACCGGGCGGGATTAGGTGGAGGAGTGTTTGCATTTGAATGAAGTTATTTGTTATCTCTACTTAGCTATTTTATCTACTTATAGATTGTTCTGGAATAAATAGCACCATTATAAAGTGAAGCAAGGAGAGGAGGGAGAACACGTGAAGCTTTTTACTCTTTCTGCTGTGAAACAGAAATTTTGACCAGTTTACAGGTTGAACTATGATTCCATTAAAACACCCAAGCCAGATCTGTGGAGATCTGCTCCTGTCCTTAAGGGGAAATTCAACTTAGGGCGTCAAGTAAACAAACAGCCAGACCGTCCTCCACAAAACAATGCAAGGGAAGGATAATTGGGGTGGGGGGAGAAGCCCCCAACACCCCGGTCGGGTTATTCTTATTACCATTGTGCCTCCAGTTCTTTTTATCAATCTTGCTTCATTCTAATTACTCTTAGTTTGGAATCTCCAAGTTGGATAGAAATGCTGTCAGCTGTTCACGGAAGTCTGATCCTGATATTCTAAACCCGAAAAGTGATAAGAATCTTGACAGAGAACTAAGTCCACTCCCACTTGAATGAAACTCTTACCCAGGGAAAACGAAAACTACTCCTGCCTGCCTCCCTCCCCTCAGCCCCCAGGAGAACCGTGAAATGCCTGCTGAATTGAGAGACTGGAAAAGAACAGAGCAAGGCAGAGCCCCTGAGGTCTTTGCCACAGGAGAGTGATCAACATCTGAGTCCTTTGCATCCTTATTTTACCCTGACTTCAGTTAATGCCACCAATGTCCAGTGTGCACACTCTCAGCACACACACAGGCAGTGCCATGAAGTGGAGGGGACAGAAAAGCTTTCCACACCAAAACTCTTCTCCATGCAAACAAAAGAATGGCTGTCTCGCCTTAGAAGGAAGCCCTGGCTAGGGTGATTTCAGGGGTTAATCCTCAATGAAAGAGGGTTAAGCAGAGACTTGAAGATTGCTGAGGTTTTATGATGGTGAATTGCCTGGGGAATCCACATTCAGATCAGCCTTGGTATGTTTTGCTGAGTGAGATAAGAGTTGGAGACTTCATGCTGGGACATGTGCAAAAGGAAGGGAAAAAATTAAAAGGGGAGGGGAAGGAACTAGGCAACTAAAAACAGCCCACTCGTGGCAACCAAATCTAAACAGAAAAACATTGCAGGGAGCCAAACGCAAAAGAAAAAACAAAAAAGTTTGAGATATTTAAAGGTTCTAGCAGTTTCTTAGTTCAGTGCACAGTCCCTTCCCACATTCCTCTGCCCCATTACTCTGTTCTCTAAACCCTAAGACTGTATTCGTGCCCAGAATGCTAGAAACACAAGATAAGATCTGCCAGAGAAGCGGCAGAGTACTAGCAGCTCTGTCTGCCTGGCTCAACCTACTTCTTCGCTTTGGAACGGGAGTGGAGTCCATTTTCTTATACTTTATTCTGTTTCCGAAGCTCACTCTTTCTACAAAGTCAGTTTGAATGTGGGGATTGCTAGTTTAATAGTGTCCAAAATTGGCATTGTCAGGAAACAGGGGCAGCATCACACAGTAGGCACCAAAGTGTGGAAGGCACTTGGATTCTGGATTCAGCACTTAGATGCTGTGTCACCTTAAGTAAGTTATTTCCTCAAATGAAAAATGGCACTAACAATAGCACCTAATGCATAAGATTGTTGTGACATTTCTCTGAGGATGTGGCACCCAGTCAGCCCTCAGTAGTGGTATCATTAATTAATTATGAATCAAGAGAAGCTTTCTGAGGTACCCTTGAATCTCTCCAGGAACTCATTCAGTATCACTTGTCAGTGGAAAATAGTGGATGAAGTCAAGCGATCTCCAGGAATGACAATCAAGAGGGGGCGGGAGTGAGAGCCCAGGCAGACACTGATGAAAGCCATCCTCGTTCCCCATCACAGCAACTCCACCACACACCTGGGGCTCTCCTCAATGCTGGATGGCCCTGCCAAGTATCCTGGGCTAGGAGCAGGGGATTTGGGTTTGGGGTCTGGTTCTGTCTTTGGTATTCTTGAGCAAGGCACTCCCCGTTTCTAAGGCTCCCAACTTTTCTGAAGTGAGGAGCCTTGGGCTGAGCTCTGACGGTCCTGAATGGGGACCCTCTGCCAAAGCCACCCTATGAGCTTCTGGCAACTTTCCCTAAGAGAGATGGGGAGAGAGAAGACATCATAGGTAAGGCACTGAATAGAACAAGGACAGACCCATTTCTGCAACCTTTCTTCCCCTCCAAAAACTAGAGTTAAGAAATGTTGTCCAACTTAAACACAGCCTGTCCTTCTCCCACCTCCAATACTTCCAAGAATTTTCACCCCCATGGACTAGGTGCCTTGTGAGAGAGGGATGTGGCAGAACACCCCAGGCATGGATTACATCTCTGGTGACTTCTTGTGTGTAGCCCATCATCAACAACCATAGACATCTACCTTGGTCTACAGGGCCAAAACCCAGGTAGCAGATATTCCCATTTGAGAGATTGAATCCAGAGACCCCAGAATCCAAGATGAAGTCCTGGAAGTCAGTAGATTAGCAGGACTCAGGAGACCGGGGATTCATCCACAGGTTTACCTCCAGTCAACTGAGTGAGTATACAAGTCATAAACACGATGTCTCAGTTTCCCAGTCTATAAAACGTAACCACTTAGCATTGACTCCCCCTAGGTTGTTGTAAGAATCAAATGAGATAGTAGATGTGAAAGTGATTTGAAGATAAAAGATTCATAGTTTTAAAGATTTCTTTGGGGAAAGTTTTACTATAATTTTTTTGTCATTATGAAAATTTGGGAAACAGACAAGGGAAAAATATTACCCACAATCTCAACACTATTAACACTGTAGTGTGTTTCCCTCTAATCTTTTTTCTCATGTACATGATTTTAAAATACAGTTATGATTTTAGATTGCATGCACCTTTGAAATTTGCTCTTTTGCTTATTACCTCGAATGGTATATGGTCTTTCTTCTTAAAAATATGTCTTATTATAAAGTATAGCATATATACAAAAGATTATATAGAACACACACACACACACACACACACATATATATACACACACATTTTAATAATCAAACACATTAGGAACTCACCACTCAAGAAGTAGACCTCTTTGCTTCCCAGAGGTAACCACTATCCTGATTCTTATTACCATAACTTGCCAATGGATGTTCTATGATTTACTTAATCATTTCCCTACTTTTAGAATTTAGAGTGTTGCTAATATTTTGCTTGAATGCTATACAAATTCAAATATTTTTATAAGAGAAAGGATATCAAATACCATCATTGCTCAGGATGCTTAAATGGGGTTAAAGAATGAGTCTTGATGTCTACCTTCAAATGCTACACACGGCATATATATGGTGGAAGATGGAAGGACCCCCAAAGATTGTGACTACTTGTGCATTTTCCTTGTTTCCTAACATCCAAACAAAAAATCCTGCAGGCGCTTTTTCCTTTTTTTAAATCCCTGCCCCTCTCTGCTTCCCATCCTCCTTTATTTCCTCTTCATCTACCTTGAAGCAGAAAATGTAGTCTGCAGCATGGGCTAGTAATACAGAATTAGAGCAGCCAGGCTGTGCTTCTCCCTGTGCCTTCAGGCAAAATTCTCAGTGTAGCTCGGGCAGCTCTAGCATCTCTATGCCAGTTTGGTGACATGAGTGGCTACCAGGTAGCTGGTCACTTCAGTCTGCACCTGAGCAGGTGTAGATGTTTGGCGGTGATTCTCAGAACTAAAAGACACCATAGCCAAAAGGACCCTAGAAGTCATTCACTTCCATTTTCTCAAACTGGACATGAGCACACACAGGTGTACCAGGGCCATGAGATAAACAAAGGAGATCTTACTTGAGTGTCTGCCTTAAATAAAAAATCCTTAAAATATTGTGTTGTATTAAACATATATAGATATGTGGAATTTGAATGTAAGTCATGCAAGGATTTCTAAGGAAAGAGAGAAGATATCAAATACATTCTGGGTCTAGCATCGGCTGCCAAAAGTTTTATTCCTGGGACCTTGAGAGGATTAGTTCCCTCCCTTCTTTCTAAGTGTAAAATGTTACTATGTAGCATTCTGGGTGTTCCGTGCTATGTACTAAGCCCTTTACGTACAGTTAATGCTTTTAATTATTGTAACCACCCTTTGATGGACCGTAAACATCTCCATTTTATAGATGAGGAAACTGAGGCACAGACAGGGTAAATAACTTGCCAGAAGTTACCTAGCTAGTGAGCAGTAGAGCAGGACTCAACCCAGGCAGTCTGACTCCCAAGTCTGAGTGCGCAACCACGATACCTACCACCTCCTGGCAAGTGCTCACGGGAAACTTGGGATGCTCTGATGCAGTTCAGGGCCCTCCTTTGATGGATGAGGAAACTGAGCTTACAGAGAAAAATGTGGCTCTACATCGTGTCAGAATCATAAATTCTCATACCGAAAGGAACCTTAGCAGCCATTGAGACTCGTGAACCCCTTTTTTGCCCTCCACCTGGGGAGATGCTGCTTTTGCTAAGAATAGGGCCAAGGTGAAAAAAGCTGATTGTAAGAAGAGCACCCTAAAACATTTTAGGGGCACCTTAGCTAGTGGCTGGCAAGGCATACTATCCTTGGGGCTGAAAAGGGGATGGTGTAGGGTAGAAGCCAGGGATGGCAGAAAGAACCTGTGGTCAGATAGAACTGAGTTCAAATCCTCTTTCTGCCACTGCTTATTTAGTTTTAAGAAGGTCTTATAACCTCAGTTTCTCCTGTAAAATGAGGATAATGTCTGTTTCCTCATTTATATCTGTTTCCTTAATCATGGGATTAAGGAACAATACACCTTTATTATACATTGTATGCCTGTATCAAAATATCTCACATGCCCAATAAATATATACACCTACTATATACCCCCCAAAATTAAAAAACAATTCACCCTCAAAAGTGACATTCAATAAATATTGCTTTTTTCCCTCTTCACGCCTTACCCTTGAAGCTACCAAGTCATATGGAAACCTGAGACACCAAAGTGTCTAGACCCTCATGGAAAGTTCCATCTCTCAGGCTGGCTTACTGACTGATTTTAAAACAAATTTAAAAAAACTTGATGTGTGGCCAGGTCCTATTTAGTAATTACTATTTACTGAGCACATACTACATGCCAGGCACAATAGTAAGCACTTTTAAAAATACCCAGTATCTTATTTCATCCTTATAATAACCTGTGAGGTAGGTTTTTTATCTCGGTTTTACAGATGAGGAAACCAAAGCACAGAAAGGTTAAGAAAATTGCTCATAGGTACTTGATTTAAACACAAATCTAACTTATTTCAAAACTTACATTAAGCGATACTGTCCTCAAAATCTTAGAGAGCATGATGTGTGTTTACTTTTCTTTAGCCTTCCCTACCTTGTTGAAAATGAGCACCCTCGCTTTACCAAAGTCTTGCTGAATGCACAGATGCTTCTAGAGTTGACCTTACCAGAAAATTCTTACTCCTGATGTCCCAGAGGATACATGCTTAATAAATTCCAGATCCCTGTGCCCTCAGGGATACTTTCCCCCCTGCCAAATTTGCAATTATTTCATAATTTGCTTTAACCACAAACATAAGCCCTGTTATTGACTGAGTAAACTGAGTAGGGCTTTTTGGACTTTTATTCTTTTCCCAAAATACGATGAACTTGAATCATCAGATGATGAACTTGTACTTGAAACTAGAGTGGCTGAGGGCAAAGTGAGTCACTCCAGTGAGTTTATGCCTATCAATCAATGCATCAAATTGTGTCCTATTACCGGACACTGCTCTCAGCAGTCTACTTAGACACCTTGGGGTTACAAGGACAATATAAGAGCATTTCTTGACCTGAAGAGTTAAAAATCTTGTTTAGGTGGCAAATTAATATACATGAAGCAGAAGTCCAGCAATATAGTAGGTATTTTATATATATACTATATATATATGTATGTATGTTTAGTCCTCCAACATTTTAACGAGCACCAACTATATGCTGGATACCGTGTCAGAAGCTGCAGGTACACAGTGATGCATATCTGCCTTCCAGGTGCTCACAGCCCATGGGGAGACAGACTTGATAACAAATAGTTACAGCCTGATGCAGCAAGGGCTAAAGTGGGGCAGGACGGCTCTGCCCAGGAAAGCTGGCAAGAGCTGATGGCTGAGGTGACTGTCGAGCTGGATGTTGAGCCGACCGTTTTCTAGGCAAGGGAAGTGGACAGGCATTCCAGGCATAGAGAAAGTCATATGAAGAGGCTGTGAGTGCCAGGAAGGGGCTGTGCCCTGCTCATCTCTGTCCTTATTTCCAGCTCTTTGCACAGTTCCAGGCACATGCCAGACCCACAGTGAATACGCATTCAGTGGATGAAAATACGGAATGGAGAGAACATGCACAGTGTTTGGAGAACAGTGAGGCAATTGCTGAGCAGGAGTATTTGTGGAAGGGAGGAGACGTTAGGGAAGCAAGTCTGGGAAGAACAGACTGTGATAGCCTTTGAAGATGTAATAATCAGTTTGGACTCTGTCCCCAGGGACAAAGGGAGGGGGTCTGTCAGTGGCAGATGGACACAAACAGATGTTTTTCAGGAAGACTGCTGGTAGAGGGCTGAGGGTGGGCTGGATGGGAGAGGAAGATGCCCATGGAGGGCCATCAGGAGGCTGCAACACTGGTCAGGTGAGGCCATCGGAGGCCAGATGAACTGTGAAGATGGTGGTATCCCCACTCTCGTATGTTGTTCACTCAAAATAAAAATTATTCACAAAACACAATGCTCTTATGTGTACTGAAATTAAAATAGCCTTTTTCCCCTGGATCTTTTCATTGCAAAATTCAGGATTGCTTTATTAAAACTGAGCTTCCCTCACTTTCGGGGGCCCTCCCCATTACAGGTACCCTAAGCAGGCATCTGATCAGTCTTGGGAGTACAGCAGTGTTGCCTCACCTGAGGCAGGGCTGGTAAGGAGAACAGGAGGGGATGATTTTGGGAAACTTCTAGGCAGACATCTTTGGATTTTGGCAGAAGCTTGGTGTTAGGATAGATGGAGAGGGGAGGAATGCCCCTATCTCAGATGTTATAGAGCATAGCATTGGGGTGGGAAGGAACTGATTGGGTATTGTAGGCAGTAGAAGTGGGAAAAGACTAATAAGGGCATTTCGGGACAAAATGCTTAGCAGTGGGATGTCAAAGAAGGGAATGGCCCCTAGCCATCAGCATGTTGGGGATATCAAAGTAATGGAAAGACTCAGAGGAGAGAGGAGAGAGAGGGAGGAAGAAGAGCCAGGTTGGGGCCTAAGGCATAATGTAGGAGTCAGTGTGGATTATTGGAAATTTACGGATAATTACCAAGTACCATGAAAATCTACCTCACTGGTTCACAGCTGTAATTTATGCTTTCCCTCAGGCTTTGGATAACAATATTTATTCCAGCTAGCTTTCTGATAAAGTGATTAATGAAGACCAGAAATGGTCCCTCAAGAACCAGGAAAAGCCAATGATCCTCAGCCTGACATAGTTGAGAACTGACAAACTAGACACTTATTTAAACAAGTCTTTTTTCAGTGCTATGCCACTATTTTAAAAGATATTCACAAAGAGATTACAACTTAGGGAATGCTGTAGAGATAATGTGGGTTTTAAATGCAAGATACATATCATCTCACCCCAGTTAAAATGGTTTTATCCAAAAGACAGACAATAACAAATGCTGGTGAGGATGTGCAGAAAAGTTAACCCTCGTACACTGTTGGTGAGAATGTAAATTAGTACAGCCATTATGGAAAACAGTTTGGAGGCTCCTCAAAAAACCAAAAGTAGAGCTACCATATGATCCAGCAATCCTACTGCTGAGTATATACCCAAAAGAAAGGAAATGAGTATATCAAGGAGATATCTGCACTCCCATGTTTGTTGCAGCTCTGTTCACAGTAGCCAAGATTTGGAGGCAACCTAAGTGTCCATCAACAGATGAATGCATAGAGAAAATGTGGTACTTATACACAGTGGAGTACTATTCAGTTATAAAAAAGAATGAGATACTGTCATTTGCAACAACATGGATGAAACTGAAGGTCTTTATGTTAGGTGAAATAAGCCAGGCACAGAAAGACAAACATCATATGTTCTCACGTATTTGCAGGATCTACAAATAAAACAATTGAACCCATGGACACAAAGAGTAGAAGGATGGTTACCAGAGGCTGGGAAGGGTAATGGGGGTGGGGGAAGGTGAGGATGGTTAATGGGTTACAAAAAAATAGTTAGAATGAATAAGACCTACTATTGATAGCACCGCAAGGTGACTGTAGTCAAAATAATTTGCTTGTACATTTAGAAATAACTAGAAGAGTATAATTGGATTGAGATACAAAGGATAAATGCTTAAGGGGATGGATACCCCATTTCCCAAGATGTGATTATTCCATCTTGCATGCCTGTATCAAAGTATCTCATGTACCCCATAAACATACACACTTACTATGTACCCATAAAAGTTAAAAATAAATAAATTTTAAAAAGTAAGATATATATCAACACAGAACAATCATAACTCAATAAAAGCTATAAATAAACAACAAAATACGTAGAATAAGGGAAATAAAGAAATTTCCATAAAATATTAAAAGTATTTAGTTGTTGGAAGTATGGGTGGGTAACTTTTTTTCTCTTCTACTTATATATTTCTGAATTATCCCATTGTTCTATAGTGCGGATGTGTTAATTCTTAAAAGATGAAAGTATAAACTTTCATGAAGGCAAAAACTAATATTACTGTGTGTCTTTCGAAGAGTGTATTTGCCTACTTTTTTCCAGTCCTGCCATTAAGGGGTACCTAAGACTGAGATTCCATCCAAATCAAATCCTGGCTTAATTATGTATCAAGCACTCCTTGAATGCCTACCATGTGCCAGGGGCTGAGATGGAATCCAGGAAAGAATAAAATTGTTTCTAAGGTAGGAGATGGAATGATGAATTAATCTTCAATAAGCTCAGTTTTTGTCCTGCTAAACCTCATAGTGACTTATATAAGCGAAACGGAAAGAAATCCAAAGTGTACTCATCTACACTGAGAACACTGTGGTAAGTGGAAACAACACTCGGGCCAAGGTTCAAGTTCTGGTTCTGCACTAGCTGAGAAACCTGAGGTCCCTCTCTGAGGGTCAAATTCCTCCTGTGTTAGTCAAGGAGGCTGTGCTAAGGGAAGGGCTCCAGAAGGCAGCAAGAGTCTCAACCTCTGCCACTTACTGGCCTGGAACATTGAACATAAAGCTAATACGACCCACCTTGCAGGGTTGATATGGGGCAGGGGGTGAAAAGATAGATGATTGCTAGATAGATGAATGGATGGATAGCTAGCTAGATAGAGAGATAGATGATAGATAGATAGATAGATAGATAGATAGATAAATAGATGTAACTCAGTACCCAGAATATAACAACACATTAGTAAATGGGAGCTTCTATTATTATAAATTCTGAAATTCCTTACAGTTCTTCAATTTTGTGATTATAAGCGCTGTGTCTACAGTCGATGATGAAGATGATGATCATGATGGTGATATTATTTTCTAAGGGCCCCTTTTTTCTTGTCGTCATTCCCTATTGACCAAGTTTCTACAGAAGAGACACATACCTAGTCACATAAAAGTGAGTCACCGAGGAGGCCCCATATTGTCTCTGTCTGTGTTGGACATGCCTTGCTGGACAAACCACCTCTTTCTCTCAATTTCCAACACTTAATGTCTATTTTCTTATCTGAAGATTGCCCCCGCATCTTCCTCACATAAAAGTGCTGTGAGGAATAAATTCATACACTCATTCCTCGTGTATGTATTGAGTGCCTACTGTATGCCTGGCATTGTTCAAGAGCTGGACATCCAAGAATGAACAAGACAGAAAGAGGCTCCACACTGGGCACTTAGCAGATACCCCAACATTAATTTCTCCTCTTAAGCTTAATTTAAATGGAAATAAGACAGCAGTGGGAATTCAAAGAGATTCTCAATTCAGAAGAACCAGTGTTATCTCTTCAGCATTCCTTTAAAGAATTTGGGAACAAAACACTGACTGTTAACTAGCTCACCATTCATGTGCCAGAGGGAAGCCACCTTCTTTTTCCCCCTTGGCATTGGCCTTGAAAGGGGAGCCAGTGGGTGAGAGGGGACATTGTCCTTTCTTTCTGGCATATAGAGCCTTAGCTTTAACTTTCACACCCCCCACAGCACTCTTCTGCCTTGGCTCTGTTACATGTCCTGACATGTAGAACCAAAGGAAACACAAAGTGAAAATGAAACGAATGTTCCACCTGAGTCACTGTCTGTGTTTCTCTTTTATCACCAAAGCAATGAACTCCCACACAACTGAGGCTTGTTCTATTTAGGTTGTAAAACGTCATCTTTGTAATTAAAGCACACTATTATTGTTATAAAGTAAACAATTGGAAAACATGTTCTTAGAAACATCTCTCTGATTCATAAATATTTGGATGGTGAAATCACAGAAGTGGAATGCTAACCTTGCTAACACGCTAGTGATAAAGATCAGTAGGCACTTATGTTACACAGGGGAAAGTTAGCCTTAGTGTGCAGTAGAAAAGTGAGGTGGAAAATAGGAGTTATCTTGTAACGGCCATTTGGAATCATGGAGGTTTAAAAAATATAAACTATTTTTTCTCATGTTAAATTTCACTTCACTTGTGTTTATTAATTCATTGAAGGAATATTAATTCATCGAAGGAATATTTTGTTCCCACTCCACTGGGGCCACACCCCACAGTCACTTTAAGCCCCAACCACTTGAGGCGCTAGTGGTTTCATTTTCTCATCAAGCCTCTCACGTCTAACATTCTTGCCTATGATGGAATTTCCTCCTCCTCCTGCCACCCAAACCTTTCCATTTACAAAACTGCTGTTTCATTATATCTTTCAAAATCCAGTTTCAAAGTCACTTCCTTGTGTAGGTAATATAATGTTAGTCACCTCTAGGACTAGCCATGTAATTAGTGGGGCCTATTACCAAACGCAAATGTGGAGCCCCTTGTTCAGAAATTATTAAGAATGTTGAGTCAGTGACAGCAGAGCATTAAGCCAATGTGAAACTTGTTAAGGGTGGGACTGAACAGGTCATCCGGCTTATGAGGCTAGCCGTGGACGCACCTTTTCTGTGTTCCCATAGTTCTTAGAGGATATTTTTGTTTCTTGGCCATTCAGCATCTATCCATCCCAATTCGAGTAATGGTTTCCCAGTTTTCGTCCGAGAAAGCCACTCCCCGCACATTTCCGGTCCCTGTGCATTGGGTGACCAGTCAGAGCAAACCAGGCCAGGGACCACTGTGGTTGGTCCAGGAAGGGGCTCAGGATCCATGTAGAGCCACTGAGCTGCGGGAGCACCGGGCTGGGGCTGCTGGAGGCAGCTCACTAGCTGGACTTGAAGGCAGGGGGCTGTAGCCTGGGGCTGCTGAGGTTGCCATGGGCAACTGGAGAAAAAGGTTAGAGCCAAGAGGCTCTATATCAAGCTGGGTGGCAGCCACACTTTCTGCAGAGTTTTCAGCTATATGAACCGGCAAATCTCCACTTTTTGTTAAGCCATTTTGTACTGTTTTTTCTAACGAGCCAAAGAGTCCTAGGGGCTACACATCTATTTGGTCTTTATATACATATTTTTATACATGTGTTTCCCTACAGTTTTATGAACTCCTTGGGAGTGGGTATCCTATTTTGCTCATCTTACCATCCTCAGTGGTTGAGATATTATTAAAATATCCTTTTACTTTTTAAATAAATATAACTGTAATAGTAGATGGCAAAACAATAATTGACAACCCTGCAATTATCCTCAGTTTTTGTTGTGAAACTTAACCAGTCTTTAGAATCGGAATGGCTGTGAGCCCCTGCACATGTATTCAGTTCAATACATGCTAAGTCCAGGTGGCCAGGCAATCAGCCAATGGGTTAATTCTGCTCACAGGTGCTGGCAACACTCTCTTCTTTCCCCTGACCTGTAGGCCTGTAAGGGGCCCAGTAGCTTCAGCCCACAAAGCACATTCACACCCATTAGCTCCTCTGCATCTCCCACAACCCTAAAAAGGGATCAGGCGGGGCGCTTCATCTCCATTTTACAGACTGGAGATTGAAATAAAGAGTCTGGGCAGTTTCAGCAACATGCTCTGTTTCTGTCTATAGACCCAGGCTCTCTTGTACCCCTGCCACCCTCATCTGAGACTCTTCTGCCCTGTGTCTCTGCTCTGTCTTCTCCCTCCTTGCTCTTTGACCCTTCCACCCTAATAAGGCAAAATGTTTAAGAGGTAGAGTGACTTTTTAAATCTGACACCAGTAGGACTCTGTTCATCTATAAAGGCACAAAATAAGCACAATGCCAACTCTGGAAAATTGTTAGGTTTTTTGTTTTCTTTTTTGTTTGTTTGTTTCATTCATAGTCTCTGAATATTTACTTTTTAGAAATAAGTTATTTGTATTTAATTTTAAAAGAAAAATAATGAATCCCAGCTAGAAAGTTGCAATAAAACATATTCTAGTCCTTGCCAGTCTTCCATTAAATTCATGAAGCATGTAGACTACCTGGAATGTGTCTTAGCCTCATGCATCATTTCCCCAGGCCTCATCTGCAGGGGCTGCTGGCCAGCTGCTCGTCAGCTCCACCGAGCCCCGAACTGGAGGAAACAGAATTTAACTTCACAGGGAGGGCTAGACCAGACAGAGGGAAGACTTATGCTCTGGGAGTGCTTAGACATTGGAACAGGCTACCAAGGCAGGTGGGTGATGATTCCTTCCAGGTGGATGTGTGTGACTCTGAGTGAGCACCCATGTGCAGGCAACTCAAGGACTAATTGGAAATAGGGTGCTATCTTACATGAAATCTGAGAGCTCAAGAATTCCAGGAGTGGCTACTCAACATCACAGATTGAACAGGGACTTTGGGGAGTTTTAAAGATCTACAGAAAAATAAAGACAGCCCTAGGGCTAAGAATGGTGACTGATATAAATAGAGACACAGACACATAGGTATGCTTACAATCATTTACAAAGTCTTAAGAACACTTTTTTTTTTTTTTTTTTTTTTTTTAAAGAGACAGGGTCTCTCTCTATCATCCAGGCTGGAGTGCATTAGGGCAATCATAGCTCACTGCAGCCTTGATCCCCTGGGCTCAAGTGATCCTCTAGCCTCAGCCTCCCAAATAGCTGGGACTACAGGCACATGCCACCATGCCTGGCTAATTTTTTAATTTTCTTTTTTTTAGTACAGATGATCTCACTTTGGTGCCCAGGCTGGTCTTGAATGCCTGGGCTCAAGCCACCCTCCCACTTCAGCCTCTCAAAGTGCTATGGTTACAGGTATGAGCCACCACACCCAAGAACACTTTTTTTTTTTATACTTTAAGTTTTAGGGTACATGTGCACAATGTGCAGTTTTGCTACATATGTATACATGTACCATGTTGATGTGCTGCACCCATTAACTCGTCATTTAGCATTAGGTATATCTCCTAATGCTATCCCTACCCCCTCCCCCCACCCCACAACAGTCTCCGGTGTGTGATGTTCCCCTTCCTGTGTCCATGTGTTCTCACTGTTCAATTCCCACCTATGAGTGAGAACATGCGGTGTTTGGTTTTTCATCCTTGTGATAGTTTGCTGAGAATGATGGTTTGCAGTTTCATCCATGTCCCTACAAAGGACATGAACTCTTCATTTTTTTATGGCTGCATAGTATTCCATGGTGTATATGGGCCACATTTTCTTAATCCAGTCTATCACTGTTGGACATTTGGGTTGGTTCCAAGTCTTTGCTATTGTGAATAGTGCCACAATAAACATACATGTGCATGTGTCTTTATAGCAGCATGATTTATATTCCTTTGGGTATATACCCAGTAATGGGATGGCTGGGTCAAATGGTATTTCTAGTTCTAGAACCCTGAGGAATTGCCACTCTTACCAAGAACACTTATCTTTAAATGCCATGTTATCAATGGATGTATCGGGCTGGCAGCACCCAAACCCACAGATCTGTTTTACTATCTCAAGAAGTGAGACCATCAGATACAAGGGCCTCTTGCTGTGATGTAATAGAAAGCACACAGCCCACCAAAGTAGTTGAACCTGAATGCAATCCGGCCCCTAGATCTGACCATTTGTTTTTGTGAAATTCAGAGGATAGAGGAAATGGTTAAACAATGCTGAGGATGTAATCAGCCAAATCCAGAATGAGGGAAATTCTACAGGACAAATTAACTCATTTCTTCAACAAATAAATAGCATGAAAAATAAGGAGAAAGAATATGGTAGGTTAAAATAGACTTAAGAGACATATCAACCAAATATAATGTGTGGACCTTGTTAGGATCCTGATTCTGTCTAACTGTAAAATGACATTTAAAGACATACTTTTGGAAACGTGAACATAGATTAGCTAATTCGATGATATTAGAAAATTATTATTAAATTTTTTAGATATGTTGTGATTATTATCTTAAAAGCCCTTATCAGTCTTTAAAAGGAATAAAATACTTAGATGAACGTTGAAAACATGAGTGAAATAAACCAGATTTTTAAAAATGCTGTATGATTTCACTTAGATGAAGTGTCTGGAATGGTCAAATTCAGAGACAGAAAGTAGAATAGTGGTTACTAGGGGCTAGGTTGAGGGAGAAATGAGGAGTTATTGTTTAATGGGTACAGAGTTTCAGTTTATGATGCAAATGTTCTGGAGACAGATGGTGGTGATGGTTGCACACAGTGTGAAGGTACTTAATGCCACTGAATTGTACACTTGCAAATGGTTAAAATAGAACATTTTATGTTATGTACTTTGTACCGCAATTTTAAAAGAAGTCCTTATCTGTTAGAAACATACTCTGCGATGCCTATGATTTGCTTTAAAATACTCCCACCCGGCGGAGGTTGCAGTGATCCGAGATCGCTCCATTGCACTCCACCCTGGGCAGCAGAATGAAACCCTTTCTCAAAAAATAAATAAATAAATAAAAATTTAAAAAATGCCCATCCTACCCTACCACCCCATAAAAGAAAAGTGTGCGGAAGGGGAGATGAGATAAGATTGGCAAAGTATTGATAATCGTTAAAGCTGGATTTCAGGTATATGAGGATTTATATGTGTACGTTTGCAAATTCCCATGATTAAAAAGTTTAAAAATGACTGCAGAATGCCTTACTATCAAGGATAAATGAATACAGTGCAAATCTGCCCACAAACGTAGCTGAGCCCAGCTGATTGGAAGAGTGCACACAATGGACTGGGGCGGGGGGGATGGAGAGCATTCCCCATGGCCAATCCTTGGCCATCGAGTGTCTAAAGAGCACTTACATTTTCAAAACTACATCCTGACCTCTGCTCTTGCCAGAACATCTCAATGACCTTCTCAACTGGTTTCCTGAGCTTCTGGATTATATTTTTCCCACAGACATAAGCCAAGATATCACTTTAGATTTTCTCCCTTGCAAGAGGAGCCTGGTGGCAGTTGTTGAATATAGTTGAGGAACAGAATGTCACAGGCTGGCAAGAACAGTCAGGAGAGGACCTCTCTGTCTAAGGAGCCTGGGGAGACTGCGGTGCAGGAGGCTCCGTTAGGAAGATGGGTCTTAACACATGCCCTTAAGAAGGTGGGGAAAAGCATTCCAAGTAGAGGATCAGAATATGCAAAGATATGGAAGCATAAAGGAGTATGTATCTCTCCAGAAAGGGAGAGCAGCCACATGTCCCTGGTACAGGATACAGGGGAAGAGGCGGCTGAAAAAGTTGGGATCAGATGGTGGACGGTCTTGTGTGTATTGCTATGAATTGTATTCTTTCAACAAACTGAGAGGCTACCAAGAGCCATGTTCTTTGCAAAGATGCACAAGAAACCAGGCACATGATAAAGGAATATTTTTCACTTCTGTGAGGTCTTTCCTCCTCATCTAAGTGGTTGGCGCCCTTACCTTATAGTAAGAGCCATGAAAGTACATTATCCTGCTTCCCTAATGCTGCCCATATCCAACGCTAACTCGGTAAGTCTTTCAACAGGAGACCCATTAAGCTTATATTACCATTCAAAGTGGTGCCTGGGAAATGTGCAATTTCTGATGGCACAATAATACAGATGGCCGTTGCAAAATGAGTATCCGCATTTATGGCTCTGTGTTCACACTGAATTCAATTTTTGAGTATTTCCACCTGTTACGTTTTAAAAATTGAAGTAATATATGCACGAGATAAAAGAAATCAGATTATAAGGAAGTGTTTATACTGAAAACTAGCAGGGCTCACCCCACACACATGCCACCAACCAGAGACTACTACCTTTAACGACCTCTTTTAAAAATTATTTGGATGGTGAACTTCCTAACTCCAAAAAGTATGCTTATGTGACATTTTTTTTTTGCAGTTTTTAAAAGGATTTATTTGACAAGTTTCACTTAGCGCAATATACCTAAAAGGAAATCACAATACAATGAAAGATTTAAATCAGGGCCTCAGAATTTCATACAAACACCAAGACCAAAATCCTAAGTATTGGTATTGTGTCTCAAATTTTTCCCATTAACTTAAAAAAAAAAAAGCTTAAACTTACGTGCCTTACAGATTATTAAATGAAACTAGAATTAACAAACATGCCAAAATGTTTCACTTTTAATTGTAGACACAGTTCCTATATTGTTTTACAAAAAAATAAAAGCATGTCTTTCAACATGCAACCAAACAGTGTTCAATGTAACATGGCAAAGGGCAACATTTAACATAATTCAACTGCTTTTACCTAAATACACTTACTGCTTAAGTACATCCTATAACTAACTTGAGAAAAGCTGGAACTTAAGTTTAACAGTTATAGTTTACTCAGCTTCACTGTTACATCCTAGATGAGTATTCTATTAAAAAATACTGGGCCTTAAGTCTTCATAACAATCCTGATATCCACTTAGAGAGTAATCATAAATCACAAGCTTGCATTGCAGAAACGTTAAACTGAAGTTTTGTTTTTTCCTTAAAAAAAAAAAAAAAAAGTTGACCAAGAGTCAGTGATCAGGACCGATCAATTAGCTTATGTGACTTTTTAAAAACAGTTTCTTGGTCAATTTAAGACATTCTTTTTTTCTTCTTCTTTTTCTTTCTTTTTTTTTTTGAGACGGTGTCTCACTCTTGTTGTGCAAGCTGGAGTGCAGTGGTGCAATCTTGGCTCACTGCCACCTCCACCTTCCTGGGGTCAAGCGATTCTCCTGCCTCAGCCTCCCAAATGGCTGGGATTACAGGTGCTCTTTGGACTCACCTCTATAAAATTGAACATAATCTCTTATTCCTTTCCCCCAACTTTTTTATTTATAATTTAGTTCTTCTATGGGTTCCCTCTGTACACTTATATGATATACTTAACCTTCTATTTCTTCCTCCATCTAGAAAGTAACTTTTGACTCCCTAGTACATTAGCTGAGGATATCAGCACAGTTCCCTTCTGTCTCTCCCTTGCTCCCATTATCTGCTATTTGTACCTTTAATTTTGCATCAAGAATGAAAACATTTACAATGAGCTCTGTTTCCATTCTCATGTCTTCCTTGCTTTGTGGGTAGGTTGATTTTAAGAGTGGAGAGCTAATAGACAAGGTTTGCATTATTATGACTGTGTCAACCCGGGAGTGCTGTGATGCCGAGTGTGCTAGGATCACATTTCTCCACCCGGCCACAGTCACCACTCATGGCCACTTCAAGGAGAATGTGCCTAGTGAAAGCAGAAAAACAGACTCTCTCTCATGACCTGGGTTCAAATGTTCAAAGCGATGCTATATTTTAGATGGCTTCAGATTAGAAGAATAATTTTATTTAAAAATATAAATATGTCTTCATATTCACACAAAAAAGCTATATACATGTATTACTTATATTTTTGAAAAGGAAGTTATTGCCAAGTATGAAGGCGACTAAAATATGGCATCATTTTGAGCATTTGAAGGAGTGATTATGTGGATGGTGGAGGAAGAAAGCAAAATTCGAAATGTCCAAAATAAGAAAGAAATAGATAATGTCCAAATGGAAAAAATCAGGAAATGAGCAGTATACACACATGATTTATAAATATGGAGAAGATACAGTGAAAAGAATTGAAAGCAATTGCCTTCAGGGAGTGGGAATCAGGTGTGGGGTTGCATGAGCTGGGAGACTGTTTTTTTGTTGTTGTGGTTGTTGTTTTTTCATTATAAGCCTTATAGTATTGTTAGAGTTTTTAAACTCTGTACATGTATTACTTTGATAAAAAGTAAATTTAAATTTAAAAAGAGAGTAACTGTCCTTCTCATCCTACCCACAAGGTAATTACTGCTGCCCCAATCTGATAGGCATGAGGCGCTAAAAAGAGACTCCAAAGCTCTTTGTGTGAAATGAATTTTGTGTCCCGGTGGTGACACCCTAGGGTGACGAGATGTGATTCTTTATTGGTGGACACAATGTCAGCAAACCTGTCTTCACTCTTGAGCCAACTGGTTCTACCTTTTCCCTGGTGGTTGCTGGTGGAAACATGCCGGGTTAGGGCTGTTTCTGAGCAGGGTGGGGAGTGGAGAACGTGCAGTTTCAATTAATCCCCTTGTTTTCATCCAATCCACACCCTGCCGGGAGTCTCCTAGTCCTAAGCCTCTTCTGTTGGGTTTCAATGTCTCCTTAAAACAAGCTTCTCAAGGAGAGAGGGATAGACACCTGGCTGCAGGGGTAGAAGAAGCTACCGAGGAAAGCAAAATTGAGTCAGACTTAATGGCTAATTTTCCCTGGTCTCAACATTCTCCCTCTCACTCACCTCCCATAATCGCTGTCACCCCACATGCTGAGTCTCACAGGGGTCTACAGAGGGAATGAAACCCGCCCCCACCCCCGCCGCCCCAGCAGGTGCCTCGCTTGCACTGCTGCATTGCTAAACTAAGTACAGGCACCGTATCCCACACTCCCCATTTCCCACAATTCTGTTGACATCTCTTGTCTGCTGTTATCTGTCTTCCTGTCCTGTCTGTCCTTTAAGATAATTCATTTTTTAAATCCCTGCAGAGTTATTTGCAGGATACTTGGGACGAAAGGCAGGAGATACACACATATGTATGAGTGAGTGAATGAACGGTTAATGCTTCATTTTAACTGGAGTTACAACTGAAGTTCCATTTGAAAGGCTGGATTTTATTTCAATGGAAAGGCTGGATTTTATTTACTGTTTTCTGCCCTGTGTTTTAAGTTCATATTCTGGGGTATTTCCGTGTTAGCAAAACTTTGTTCCTTGACCAATGGCAGCTTCCCTGAGTCCAGCCTGTGGGCTTCTAAGCATGTGGGTTGGTCACAAGAGGTACAGACTAGAGATTGTGGTTTGCGTCACATAACCCACCCCCATGGCAGCAATCCTGACTTCTGCAAAAGCCCACTCACAAGTCAGTTGTTTGGAATGCAAAACATATTTTCCCATAGAAACAATATCATAAAGGAATATTTTAGTTCTCAGGTCAGCTTTCCATAAAGTCTGTCTAATGCAGATAAAAACTCATAGGTACAAATATTCTTCATTTATTAATGTATTCATCCCAAGCATTTATTGAACGCCAATTATGTATAATTTAAGCACGGTATTATTATTGTAGGATTCTATCAAACACGGTCTTTTAAATACATCACTTTCCTCTATTTTTTAGCTTCCATTGTTTTCAACTTGGAAGCTCTTCTCCGAAACGTAATCTTCTTCTCCCGCCTTCCCTCTAACTCACCCATTCCACTTTAAGAGAAAAAAGCAAAACTTGTGTCAGAGTTGGTGAAAATGTTCATTCGTCAGAGACAGAAAGTCCCCAGAGCTTCTCTGCACCTGGAGGGCTCCTCTGCCCTGCGGAGGGCCCAGCCCAGCGTCACTTTCACAGTAAGAAGCTGCTCATTGTACTTTCCCCAGGGCCCTGCAGGGACTTGGGTGAAACTGAGAATTGGCTCCCCATCAATTACCTTTGGGATTCTTAAGGTTGCAGCACTGACCTGATCAAAAAGTCACTTTTTAAGGCTTAGCGTGATAACTGTTGGTTATTTTTTGCCTTCCCATAAAATTCAAAGGTAACTGGGGCATGTTGCCAGCTCAGCACTTCACATGTTTATTTTCTCCCACGTCAATTCATGTCTGGCTTCCAGAGGGCTCATGCTGTCACTCTTGAGGCATGGATGACAGCTACTTTGTGGTGGAGATTGGAAATTCTCACCAAATGAAGTTCTTTGGCACTTTCTCCAAAGTTATTCAGGGCAGGAATATTATTCAAGATGGCAAACTCATACCGATGTAGTCATTCATTCATTCACCGAATACTCCTTTAGTGCTCACTGCATGCCAGGCATTGCTCTTGGTGCTGAAGATGCCCCATGGAGTCACTGCTACGTCATTAACTCTGCACTTTGAGCAGCAAAGAGGAAGAAAGTGCCATGTCCTAAGAAGAGTATTCCCTCCCACTGGCTTGCCCCAAATAAAAATTCACCAGCTTAGCAGAAAGGGAGAAAGGGGAGAGGGAGACATAGGGGAGCTGCCTGTGTGTGTCCTCCTTCCCCAGTCAAGCTCTGGGTCAAGAGATAATAGAAACTTCATGACAAATTAGGGAACCCCAGGATGGAGGTGCCCTGAGCCCCCTTCCACAGGTAACTTCCCCCAGAATCCTGTGTGTGAAGGTAGAAGAGGCATGGCTGAGTGAGGCATCCAGGCTGAGGACAGACTCACAGTCTGGTGCAAAAAAAGGAGCCAGGACCTCCCCTGCCCACGGGCAGGACCCCAGAGGGTTGAGAGGGGCTGGAGGACCCAACAATTTTGGGAAAAGGAGAATGCCAAGGCCACTGGAGACCACAACATATCCTGGGTCATTTGGGAGGAAGTCAGGAGGATGGGTGCCAATGACTAAAGGCCCGGGGAACCTCACACCTCAACAAAGCCACTGTGGACAAAGAGCAACAACCATGGAGCAGGTGCCTCTCTCTCTTGGCACCAGGGCAAAAGTAACCCTCATTACATGCATACACACACACACACACCTAGAACTGAGACCCCTCCAGGAAGAATGGGAGAAAATCTGCCTAGGTCGATAACCAGAAATGATCCTGTAACCCTTCATTTGGCTGAGTTTATCTGAAGAAGACTCTGTTTTCTGTGACAGAGGGAGGGTTCAGAAACTAAGAATTACAAAATATAATCGATTACAGTTTTGCACACATGAATATGTGGCCTATGAAACTTGCTCCTGCTTCACACACAGATAAATCTTTAAAACCACATGTCTTCATAAATTCTCCGGGAAAACAGAGGCAAGCCCCTACATCAGATGGGGTGGTTTGAGGTGGCCCCTCCACAGAGAGCTCCTCTGATGGTGAAGCCTGAAGGAGAAGGTGCCAGCCATGCAGAGAATCCTAAGAAGAGGGCTCTAGGCAGAGGCAACAGCACCAGCCAAGGTCCTGAGGCAGGAAGGGATTCAGCTGTTTGATGAACTGAAGGAAGTTCGCCAGGACTGGGCACGGGGGCAAGGCAGAGGAAGCCAGGCTGAGTCTGGAGAGGTCGACAGGTAGGAGGCTCCAGCAGCGCCTTCACGTCCCCTGGGCTCAGCAGCCCCAGAGCTGCCACACACAGGAGCCCCGCTCACCTTTCACCCCCCAGCTCTGTTAGTAATCCTTTCTCTCACCATCCTGTGGATCTGCCTCACTATTCAGGCACTTCTCTCTGTCCCCTTAGAGGCCCTCCCACCCCTCCGACACTCAGAACACATCTTATCTTGTAGGGTTTCTCTTCTCCTCCTTTTGGTATCTGACAGGTTGGAGAGGGGACACCATAAGGTGATCACAGGGCTGGAGAATGGGCAGCCACAGGGCTGTGTTTACCATGCAGATTTCTGAGTCTCTGTCCCAGGTATCCTCACACACAAAGCCTGCCTGGGGCCCTGCTATCTGAGTGACCAGAAAGTTCCCACAAAGGTTCCATCCAGGTGGCCCGGGAGCCGTACTTGGAGAGACTCCAGGTGAAAGAGAGAGGCCATGTTAGGCAGGAAGGGGAAAGTGAGGGACAACTTTATAAAGAATTTTAACTCCAGCATAGCATGATGATGAATTTTATGTGTCAGCTTGACTGGGCCATGGGGTGCCCAGTTATTTGGTCAAGCATGATTCTGGGTGTTTCTGTGAGGGCATTTTGGGTGACCTTAGCATTTAAACTGATGGATCAAGGGAAGCAGATCGTCCTCCCCCTTGTAGGTAGGCCTCATCCAGTTGTCTGAAGTCCTGAAGACAGCAAAAAGGCTGAGTAAAAGGTAACTCCTCCTGCCTGACTGCCTTTGAGCTGGGACATCAGTTTTTTCCTGCCTTTGGACTTGAATTGAAACATCAGCTCCTCCTGGGTCTTGAGCCTCCCAGCCTCAGACTGGAACTGCACCATTGGCTCCTCAAGCTTGCTGACTACAGATCTAGTGGCCCACCAACCTCCATAATTGCATGAGCCAAGTCCCTTACAATAAATCTCTTATACACATGCATCTTATTGGTTTTGTTTCCCTGGAGAACCCTGACTAACACAGGGAGTAACAGCTGTTTTCTGCTTTCAGGATGCTCAGAACTTTGTATTCCAGTGGGAGAAAATCTGTCCGGACGGTAAAAGTTGTTCATAAATACATATTGGTATAAGAAATCAAGAAGTGGTATGCAGCATAGGTCTCTTTGGGGGACTTTAAGAAATAATTATAGCTACTATTTACAAGTACTATGAGTACCCTGTGTGTGAGAGGTGATATTTTATCTCCTCCCCCTTGTAAATACTTATGTAACGTCTGGCTTTCTTGCGTTTCACCTACCATGAGGGCAGAGATACGGTCTGTTTTGGTCATCACTGTATCTGTGGGAGAGAGCCCAGGATATGGTAGATACTTGGTAAATACCTGTTGAATGCGTCAGTCTATGTATTTCTAATCTTTACAACAATGCCACATGGTAGATACTATGATTCCCATTTTAAAAAAAGGAAACTGATGCCCAGCGGGAGTGTTGTTATTCTCCGATTACTATGCCCCACCCCTTCCATCCACTTCCTGCCCTCCTCTGTGCCCTGAGGGGCTAAACTCTACAGACTTATAACCTGCACTGCTGGCTAGGGAAGGAGAGAGGTCAAGGTTGGGACCTCTGTTCCAGGGTTTTGTTCCGACAGTGGTCGTGTTTCTTCAGGGCCACAGCCCCTGTCAGTTGGCCCTTGTCCATGATGCCAGCTTTCAACAGGATCCAATAAAATATTCCCTCCTCTTGCCCTGTAGGCCTGGGTGGTGACAGCTTTCTGCAATTACTAGTTCCTCAGTGCTTCACCATCCCCTGTGGGTTCCTGTAATCCTGCCCAAGCCTCAGTTAATAGTCCCTTTGCTAAACTCTCCTCAGTTAAACCTGCTGTGTGTGCCATCAGTTTCCTGCTGGCATCTTGACTGATAAAGAGAAATGAAACTCGGGAGGCTGAAACAGGAGGATCACTTGAGCCCAGGGGTTCCAGAGTGTAGTGCACTATGAGCATGCCTGTGAACAGCCACTGCACCAGCCTGGGCAACATAGCGAGATCCCATCACTTAAAAAAAAACAGAGAGAGAAATTAGGTAACAAAGTCACACAGCTAAAAAGCAGTGGAGGCAGGCTTCAGACACTGAAGTGTCTAGCTATGAAGCCCATTTTCATTTTGTTATACCTCATATTCTTCTCTCAGAAACCAGTTAGGAGTGAGCCTGCCCCATGACAGCCTATGCTCTCCCCTAGAACATTCCATAACCCTGGCATTCTTTAGCGCTTTCCCTTTCCCTGGAGAGATGAAGGGTGGTACCATGGAAATAGGGGTCAGCCTTTTGCAACCCAAGAGACCTGGATTGGAATCCAAGCTCTGCTACTGGCTCTGCGACTCGGCAACAGCTTGACTTCTCTGAGCCTCTGTTTCTCGGTGTGTAAACTGAGAATTATACTTCAGCGGGAGCTAATGAAGATTAAGTAAGCAAATGTATTTCTATCAAGAGCTCAGTCAAGTTGGCCTTTCCCCTCCTTTCTCCTAAGTGCAGGTCTCATGGAAAGGCCGGAATACTTGCCTGAAATCACTCAGTCTCTGGTTTAAAAGTGCTGCTCAATCCCTCTGCAGGGAGAGATGTCAGGAGCTTTGACTGTTGAAAAAAACGCACAGGCATGTTTCAGAAGGTTACTACCAGAGTGCTCAGTGCAGGGGACGGAAGCCCAAGCCTTCTTTCAGGCATTATTTTACTGACTTTCTTGCGACATGGCAAAAGGTGAATCCCATGACCAGTGTGTGTTTTCTCCAGCACTAATGACTGTGACTAAAATAGAGCTTTGTGGGGGAGAACCCACACAGCCCTCCCCTTGGAGAAGTTCTGAAGGCTGCCCTGCTTTGCTTTGCCAGGGTGCATTGGGTTTGAGAGCCATTGGTTGGCGACTTCAGTCTCTTTATGAGCCTCAAGATGTGCAAAAGAAAATGCATTAATACGAGCTCACCAATACAGAATTTACAGAGGCTGGCCTGGTTCCTTCCTAAAAGGTGGTGCACAATGAAGGTTAACTTCTGAGGTGGGAAGGGTTGCCAGATAAAGTACGGAGCACCCAGTTAAGTGTGAATTCCAGATAAATCGCAAATATAAGTCTGTCCCCTTCAATGTTTGGGATATAGTACACTAAAAATTCTTTGTTTCTATTTGAAATTCATGCTTACCTGGGCCTGATGTATTTTCATTTGCTAAATTTTGCAATCCTGTAAGTGAGGGGAAGGGAGATGTTTCACTGGCTTACAAAACATTGTTTTCAAGCATTCTTCACACATTTCAGAAGCTTCATTTTACTCAGAAACCAATGTGCTTGTTATGAATTGCTTTTTTTATATTCATTAAAAGAAGACCCCAAATAGCATCCTCTTAACTGAGTTCTGATGTCTATTCCTCGAAAATAATAAAACTATATTTCCTTAAGAATATGCAATTATATCCTTTATCTAGAAGCCATGTATCTGAAAACTTCAAATATCAAAATGCTGGCAAGCTTTTATTATATCTGTGTGTAAGATATTTCACATGTATATATTAAGTATGTCTCTGGGTACTGAGTAATTATTTTAGGATTTTCATTTTATGAAAATCAAAATCACCATTGTATGGTTTGCATTTTCATAGTATGGACCATATTTTGTTTATGCTGTCTATTTCTCTTCAAACCATTAATTTTACGATAAAGTATAATTTTCTATTGCAGTGCAAGTGTCTAAGGAACCACAAACAGTTTTTGTATTTCAAATTCCATAAAACATTCTTCCATTGACACAAACAACGTCATCAACAACAAAATAAAACTCCTATGACACCCATAAGAAATGCCATGGGTTCATGCAGTTCACTCAGGGCACTGCTGAGCTTTTCTTACATATCTACTCAAAAAGGTCTTGGTTTTTTGACTTTCTGTCTCAAGCAGGTGCAGGGGAACAAACTAGGAATGTGGCTAGGACTTCCACTAAAGTCAGGTACACTGAGAGCATACGAGCAGAAACCCCACTGAGACACAAGACCAAGAACTCCAAGAGCCCTGCAGGGGCCGGCAGACCTGCGCACGCGCCAGCCCTTAGGCAGCACTGTGTTACTGAGTCACATAACCGTGTTGCATGTCCTCATGAAAACTTTAAATTATATCCAAGTCAAAAGTTTTGTCTTCCCATCCCTCTCTGGAAAAAGTACCACAGCACTGTAAAATATACTATTATATGGCCAGGTGCAGTGGCGCACGCCTGTCATCCCATCACTTTGGGAGGCCAAGTTGGGCAGATCACTTGAGGCCAGGAGTCCGAGACCAGCCTGCCCAACGTGGTGAAACCCTGTCTCTACTAAAAATACAAAAATTAGCCGGGCATGGTGGGGGGCACCTGTAATCCCAGCTATTCGGGAGACTGAGGTGGGAGAATCACTTGAACCCGGGAGGTGAAGGTTGCAGTAAGCTGAGATTGTGCCACTGCACTCCAGCCTGGGTGACAGAGCGAGACTCTGTCTCAAAATAAATAAATAAACAAACAAAATATATTACTACAGTTTTGGAAATCCTAGACAATGTCACAATTTTCTCAGAAAATTAGAGTGCTGCAAATGTGGGATAATTACTGGATTTTAATGTTTGTCCTCAGTAGTGAACACAGAGTGAAGAATGACTATCATATATTACATAAGAAAGTGAAGGCTGGGTATGGTGGTTCACGCCTGTAATCCCAGTGCTTTGGGAGGTGAAAACAGGTGGATCATCACTTGAACTCAGGAGTTCGAGACCAGCCTGGCCAACAGTCTCTACTAAAAATACAAAAATTAGCCTGGTGTGGTGGTATGCACCTGTAGTGCTACCTACTCAGGAGGCTGAGGTGTGAGGGTCACTTGGGCCTGGGAGGCGGAGGTTGCAGTGAGCAGAGATCGTGCCACTGCACGGGCAACAGAGCAAGACTCCATCTCAAAAAAAAAAAAAGTGGAAATTTGAAAGTAAACAGTAGTGAAAATGAAAGCATTCTTCCTCCCAATAGAGCTCACACTCTGTAGAGAAGAAGGATACAAGTAAGTAATTGTATCCATCAGTATAGCTTAAATTATGCTGTAGTAACAAACAACTCTACAACTGTTTCTTTCTTTCTTTTTTTTTGAGACGGAGTCTAGCTTTGTCACCAGGCTGGAATGCAATGGCTCGATCTCGGCTCACTGCAAGCTCCGCCTCCCAGGTTCAAGCCTGAGAGGCAAGATTCTCCTGCCTCAGCCTCCAGAGTAGCTGGGATTACAGGCACACAGCACCAGGCCCAGCTAAGTTTTTTTTTTTTTTTTAGTAGAGACGGGGTTTCACCATGTTAGCCAGGATGGTCTCGATCTCCTGACCTCATGATCCACCTGCCTCGGCCTCCCAAAGTGCTGGAATTACAGGCGTGAGCCACTGTGCCCAGTCTACAAATCTGTTTCTTAACCAAGATAGTTTATTTCTCATTCACCCTACTCCACATCGGCTGGGATCTGCTGTTTTTCTCAGAGCCCAGGCTAATGAAGCAGCCATCACATCTGGATACAGCATTGTTATTCTACCATGAGATACTCATTTTACAGAAGAGGAATCCTGGATTTAGGGTGATTACGTGACTTAACTAGGCAAGGGCAGAGCCAGCCCTAAAACCAAGGTCTTTTAACTCTTACACCAATGCGTCTTCTCTTCTACAGATAAAAGTTGGGCTGTGTACTAGGCTGACCGTTCCCCCAGAGGGACTGGGAGTAAACAAAGCTCCAGATTAAACTCCAAAGGTTCAGTCCTTCAGTTTTTGACATGTTAGCCATCATTCATTCACTCAGTTTACCATGTGTTGGCACTATTTTATGCACTGGGGATATGCTGGTAATAAAAAAATATATACTGCCCTGCTCTTTGTGGTGCTTAGAGTTTTATGATGGGGAAGGTACATGGAACTGAGTTTCCCAAGCTTGGAAAGGAAGGCTAAATAAAAAGGCTCCAGAAGTCTGGGAGCCATGCCTGTAATCCCAGCACTTTGGGAGGCTGAGGCAGGTGGATTGCCTGAGGTCAGGAGTTTGAGACCAGCCTGGCCTACATGGTGAAACCCCGTCTCTACTAAAAATACAAAAATTAACCAGGCATGGTGGTGCATGCCCGTAATCCCAGCTACTCGGGAGGCTGAGGCAGGAGAATCACTTGAACCTGGGAGGTGAAGGTTGCAGTGAGCTGAGATTGTGCCACTGCACTCCAGCCTGGGCAACAGAGTGAGACTCTGTCTCAAAAAAAAAAAAAAAAAAAAAAAGTCTCCAGAGAGCTGCCTGGGGCTCTAGCTCCTAGAAGTTGCTTGTCTAGGGGTGTGGAAGGACACAGACACAGCCTGGTGGTTGGGAATGAGTCCATGCCTGGGTCTGCTCTGTCCCTATCGTCACTGAGCAACAGTAACCCTGAAATGCCCCCAGAGACTCTGGTTCTGGGACGGGGAGCTGGAGGGCTGAGTGGACCACTGCAATAGTGGAGAAGAAGGAGGGATGAGCACCGAGTGAGGGAGAAAAAGACAGAAAACCAAACAAAACAAACATCACTTTCCCCTGAAATGAGCCTGCAAACTCAGCTTTCAAAATACATGAAGAAATCTAATGCTAAGGAAGACAGCCAACAAAGTGAATAGTCAGGACAAGATTCTACTCCCGGTTAAAGGTAGAAAAAAGAGCCAACTAAAAAAAACCTCAGAAATGATTAGTATAAACATTGAAATTTAAAATGCACCAGATAGAAAATTTCT